>NW_003315942.2:0-152874 GCF_000001405.40 Homo sapiens | reverse complement strand
TCTCTGTTATCACAAATGCATTTGTCATAGCGATAACATCTGACTTTATCCCTCGCTTGGTGTATGCTTATAAGTATGGACCTTGTGCAGGCCAAGGAGAAGCTGGGCAAAAGTAAGTTTGCTATAAAACCACTATACAGTTTCTATTTCCTAGCCATTTTTTGAGGTTGGACACTCAGACAGAAGACTGCACTGGAGAATATGGAATACATGCCCAGAAGGAGAGGCCTGTGATAGGGGAGGTGGAATTATGATTTATTATAAATAATAATAATAACACTGTCAGCCAAAGAAAACATGTCCTCATCTACCAAAGAGTTGGAGGACATACAAGTCAGACAGGTTTTAGATGGAATCCAATGTAAGAGTGGCAATTAATCATTTTCCCCACCCCTGACCTCTGCCCACTATGAATTTAGAAATGTGTGATATGCTAATGTGTATACCAAAACAGTAGCATATGATGTATATATAGTTATATCATTTTATGAGTTTGCAAAAGGACAGTTACAATCTGATTTACATTGTGTCATTATGTGTAAACTCTGCAGATCTTACATAGGAAATACGGAACTAGGTACTGAGTACCCAGTAGGTCCTCAATAAGTATTCGTGGAATAAGTAAGTGAATGACTTTTTCATGGGTATTGACCTGACCAATGCCTATATTACCCCAAGCAAGCTGAGTGGACTAAACTCCTTGGGAGGATCAATTCTATGGCATTGCCTCAATGGTTTGCAAAGCCAGGGCACGCTATATATGGTCAGATAAAGATAAGTCAAAATTATAACATCCCCTAGTTTCATTCCTGTACCTTGGAGAAAGGGCAAGAAGTCTTAACATGCTTTAAAAATCCCTGTTTGGTTAAAGCCAAAATAGTTAAACTCTTATTATGGGATTTTGATGTCTATAGGTCAGAGTGAGGTGTGTTTGGGGATCACAGGGTCTTCTTAATAACCCAGAAATCACCCTACATGGGCTGCTGTCTACTTATACAAGCAGCCCTGGTTTACTAGCCTGAGCCAGATTGATTCATCCTCTACAGCCATTGTAGCTGATCGACCCCAAGGAGTTAAGTGCCACCAAAGCAAATCAACTGAACTCATGCAAACCTGGCCTGGGTCCAATTCATTATGAATCCTACATAAATGGGCTAAGGTGTGGATGATTGAGGAATGTCATAAAGCTCACAATCCAGTTATTTGAAAAGGCTTCTGTAAAGTTCTTGACTACTATAAGCATGTGGCCATGACACACTAATTATCTAGCAACTTTTAGTGAGCATACCATCCCATTTTAAGAGAAATGTAAAGACATGTTATTTTGCCCAGGCATTTCTTTCTAATTGCAACTATCGTTGACATTCTCTGCTTGGCTTAGCCTGAAAAAGCTTACTTTCACTCAAACCACTTTCACATGTGTTTTTAGTTGATTCTCAAAACAGCCCTGGGAGTGGGATGTGCATTATAATCTTCACTTTGAGGAGCAGGAAGAGATTAAAAGAGGTTAAGTCCAGAATCACAAGGCATAGTAACTCTGGGAGCCCATGTGAAGGTGGAGCCTCGACTCACTCTCCATCCCGCACCTCACAGCCCTTGAGGCTGTCCCTTAACAGTAAACCCCCTGGATTTTCCGTCGTAATGGTGTTTCAGTTCTTTCCCAAATTCAAATATGGTGAAATCTATCTTGTTTTAGGGGGAACCAAAAACAAAATGGGAACCTTTATGCACAATTGATAGTGAATCAAAGATTTAGAATTTTAACAACCTGGTAGATTTAAGACAATGTCCACAGTGATTAAAGTGTATCTCATAGCCTCCTTGTATCAATTTTACTGGGCTCTTTGGAGCTTTTCTTTTCTTTCTTTCTTTTTTAACCTTTCTCTTTGACTTAGGAGCCTTCTGCCACTTTCAATTTATGGATCTGCCTTTTGTTTTCTAATCCATTAGTCATTTTTCATGTTTTCAAGTAGTTAAATTTATGTATGTTTCTTCATGAATCTTATTTTCTGCCTCACTGGCCACTCTATTACTTTTCAGATTTTTTTTATTTTTCCAATTTAGAAATGCTTTAGAAATTATTGAACTCATAAGAGTAGCAGAATTGTCAAGGTATAGAAAGTCATAAGCCTTTAGGGTAGTACAGTGATTGCTGGCTCATCCCTTTCTTATGTATTAAAGGATTGAAAATTATAAGTGGTGAGTGGCTTTCACGGTAGAATTCTCACATTTAAATGAGTGTGTGGTCTTCTCAGAAGTTACATGGAAGAGATATGCATCCTAATCCAAATGGCACTACCCTGTAGAAGACATTTTCTAGATCTTTCTTGGAAGTGCCTACAGAGGCCATCTACCATTCCTTTAAGAAAACTGACTTTATATTCACAGGAAACCCTTCGTCTGTTACTTTTTTCTTGGTACTTCTCAATTCTCCCTGATCATCAGTGTAGCCTCATCTCCCTCTGTCTCATTGAGAGCTGGTGGTGGGTCACAGTGAGGGTATATAGCATTCCTGCCAGTAAACCCAGTGATAGACATGGGCTCTCTACTACCTGTGACCTTCCTGCTATAACAATGGGTCAGTGAGTTGACACTTGCATGCCACTAGCTGAATTTTATACAGCAAAATGTGATAAATCTCACTTGCCTGAATTGATGACAACTTTCACTATTTGATATTGACAATAGCTAACAGTCTACAAAAGGTGAAAGGAATTAGTGAAACGTCTAGCTGTCCGTGCATCTTTTCCCCCATTATGGAAATGATATGGAAGGAAGATGTACACAGCTGATAACTGTGTGTTCCTGTACTAGGTACACATTTAATGCTTTGCACTCAGGAGTAACCACCCTCTAAAGACACATTTTCAACTTGGATTTATGACTGTCATTCATGCATTAGGTCCATGAAACAGGTGTTTTATTTAAATTTAAATTTTCTTAATGGAGTTTTTGAGCAGAACAACCAATGGACAGTAGCGTTAGTCTTGATAAAGCCTCGGGGCTGGTCTGTGAGATAAGAGTGCAGGAGGGGTTATGAATATTCCATTTCAGTGCTGGGCCTTTTTTTTTCACCAGTTCCCAGAACACCTTTCCCTTCCCACAGCTCAGATCTCTAGAAAGACTCTGCTAAAACTTACTCCCTCTCTGTGACAGCTAATCATCCTCAAGGCACTAATTTATTTTCATGTCCAGGTCTAGACAGTTCCTAGGTAAGGGAGACATCATTCCAAATTACCCTTTCAGTAGGGGAGTCCTGCTGCCAGTTGGATTAAGGCATGTTACACACTCCCTGACCATTTGTTTTCACCCACGAGTGACTTGACAAATGGGTCCTTCAGCTTGGTTCATTTTTTTTAAGGCCATGATAAAGCCAGTGATTTGTCTTGAGCACGATAACATGCAGAACCCATGTGTTCTCAGAACTGTGTTCATGTCATCATTTTGGTTTAGTGTTCAGCAGCTTGGAATAATCATGCCAGACTTGTTAATGAAGAGAATCTGAAGATCATGATTTATTCATTCAATCAGTAATTACTTATTGACCCCCTGCTAGATGCAAGAAATAAATAAAATGAATAATCACCACTCATGTTTATCTTACTTATAGGCTAAGATCTTATCACATGCTATACATTCATTGTTTAATATAATCCCCTCAAGGACCCTATGAGGTGGGAACTTCTGTCACTTTAAGAAGTTACGTAAATCGGGTGTGGTGACACATGCCTGTAGTCCCAGCTATTCAGGAGTCTGAGGTGGGAGGATCGTTTGAGCCTGGGAGGTCAAAGCTGCAGTGAGCCATGATCATACCACTGCACTCCAGCAATGAGCAACAGAGCAAGGCCCTGTCTCAGAAAAAAAAAGAAGAAGTAAGAAGTTATATAACGTGCCAATATTACATGACTAGAAACCAGCAGAACTAAGATTTGACCCCAAAACCCAAGCTTTTGTATGTAAAACACTATTTAAAGAAAAATGTATACAGGATGTATCTAAGTGCTAATTTCACCCAAAGTTTCAAACATTGTTATTTCAGTAAGTGCATGTGTTAACCACAATGTTCAATATGTAAAACTGTTTAGAGACTTGGAGAAAAGATGTTTCTAAGAGTGCTACTTGCTATGATACTTTTAAAATGGGCTTTTTCTTGAATGGAATTATTGACAGAATGATTAAATCTTGATTTTATCTACCCATTCAATCTAGAATGATCAATAGAATCTCATACTTTAGTTTCCTCCAATCAGATCGATTCAATATTTATGGGATTCCTACACTGCACAAGACTGTCCTAAGTCATAGGATACACAAATACCTAAGATACCTGCTCTGCTCCCAAAAAATTGCAGTCCAAAGGAGAGGGCATACATATATGCTGCCAACTCTAGTACAAGCGATCTGGTAATGGTGAACTAAGTAAGTATGGTGGCACTACAGAGAGAGGGAAAGGAGTGAGATGTTGTGACTGGAGTGATTAGGTTGTCTTCCTAGTAGGAGTGGTGTTTCAGTTGGCCGCTGAAGGATAAATACTATTTCCACTTGTAAAGGAAGAGGTAGGGAATTCTAACAGAAAAGATAACAAGCAGAGGCATGAAAACATCAGAAGCTTTCAGGGAATATAGTCTAACAGGACTGTAGCATGGGATATGAGTTGGGGGGATCATATGCACACCAATCATATTTGGAACATTTTGAGAATATCTATAAATATATATGAAACCATTAATGAGGAACTGTGTTTATGTGTATCATCAACAAAAGAAGCTGTGGCTTACATACAATTTATGCCCATCATGTAATGCTGCTTTTTACCTATTTCACTGAAACATTAATTGGGGTAGAGATGTTCTATATGATGATTCTGCAGAAAAAGGATGAGAACCAAAACAAGCAACTTGTTCCTGATTCAACATGCCCAGGGCTTTCCAGCGTATCCCAACCTGAGTCCTGGTTGACAAGGAAGGGCCAGTTAAAGGCATTTACAATTGCAGTGACGTCTGGGAAGCAGGGTCTTCAGGGAACTGGATACAGAGAAGGTGATGAGTGTTCTAATGGTAGAATGTGCCTCCTCTTATAGGTGCATGGTTGGCTATGTGAATGCCAGCTTGTCTGTATTTCGAATTTCTGACTTTGAGAACCGATCTGAGCCTGAATCTGATGGCAGTGAGTTCTCGGGGACTCCTCTTAAGTACTGCAGGTGAGTGTGGCACCCAGCGTGGCTCTGCCTGAGCTGGGCTGGCTCCACCGTGGGGAGGTTTTACTCTGAAGGCCCCTTCTGGCTGAGTGTGTTTAAAGCAGTGACTGTCAATCTCAACAGTGCATTAAAAGCACATGAAGAATTTTCAAGCCTTCTCTTGCCCGGGATACAACCCAAACCAATTAAAACAGAATGTCAGGGAGTGGAACTCAGAAACCAGGTGCAGTCAGAATTGAGAACTGCTAGCTTAAAGGGAAAAACTAAAAATATAGTAGTGAAGGTTATACCGCTGCTCCAGGGACTCAGGGACAGACAATCCCCAGGCGGGTTGAGCGACAGCTGTTGAGGGCACTTGTCTTTGTTCTGCTTCTCTCTCTTGCCCAGAGTATATCACATCACATTTCTAAATGTTAAACAACTCAGAAGCCTGTGGAAAGAGGCCCAGTTCATTTCAGGTTCCACCACAGTAGCCTCTGCAACATGTGCTCATTCTCTCTTTCTTTCTCTCCCTCTAAAAGGAAATGAATTAAACTGTGCCTCTTGATGTGTATCTATACAAACGTACATGAAGGAGAATTTGTTGAGCACCTACTCTGTGCCAGAAACTGTTACTCCATTTAATCGTCACATCAGCCTTCTAAGTTAGGCAATATTATCTCATCTGACAAATGATAAAACCATTCACTAAAAGCTCAATGAGATTACTTGTGCACAGTTCTTGAAGAGTCCAGATGGCACCTTTTTCTCTTAATACTTTGACGTTATAAGAATTTTGTGGGCTCACACCTGTAATCCCAGCACTTGAGGAGGCCAAGTTGGGAGGATCACTTAAGTCCAGGCAGTCAAGGCTGCAGTGAGCTATGATAGCACCACTGCATTCAAACTATGGAGCAAGACCTTGTCTCAAAAACAAAACAAAGAATTTTGGAGATTCCCTATCATGACATTCTATGTTCTCCCTGTAATCAAAGCCACAAGGAAGAACAGCCATGGAGTCCTAGATGCTTTGACATAGGGACTTTTGTAATGATCCACTTCAGTCCCTCATCTTACAGAAGGTGAAGGTGAGAGAAGCCAGGGGCTCCCCATTTCTGTGCAGTGACAGCATACCCTCCACCCCTTTAAACACTCATGCCAAGTTCCCAGGTCTCATTGGCTGTCACATCTCATCAGATGGCTTATTTCCTTTCCCACATGGAGTAACAAGTAAGATGGGGAGAAAGACTGGCTGGAATATAATCTAGTGCCGCTCTCTGTTGGGGTCTAGTGGAGAAGCAAGCAATTAAGCAACAATTGATACTTTCTTCAGTAGATTTCCCACTTGCTTGTCCAGACCATTTCGTACATGAAATTATTTAGCAAGCATTGTTAGACATATACAGGATCCTAAGTATGAAATGCTTCAAAATAAAATGCCAACTATTATTTGGAGTTAAAAACTTTGTAATCATTTGAAAATAAGATAAAAATACAGAGTCTTTCTCCTCTTCTGCTTCCTGGCTCATAATTCTTCCTGCCTGTCTCACATAGTATCATAAAAGTATATTCCAGAAATTATTAATGTGAATGGAGGTATTAATGCTGGCACCATTAAGTTAAATTATGATTGTTTTGTTTAGCATTTTTCTTAAAAGTCCCCCAAAGAAAACATTTTAAAATTTCTAATTAAAATCATGTAAAATAATATTTTCAGGTTTGTTTTCAGTCATATAGCAGGTGAGGCACCCAGATCAGCTTGCGGGCTGAAAATATCTAAACATGTAGAGAAAAATTTAAAAACACCTTCTCAAATACATTAATGACCTGGGAAGAATATTTGGTATTCTAAGGCAGAAAGAAGTGGTACACAGAGCATTGCAGCCAACTTTTACCCAAAGGGAATTTGCTGAAGTGAGTGGACTGGAGCTTTCTTTTTATTTATTTATTTATCTTTTTATACTTTAAGTTCTAGAGTACATGTGCACAGCATGCAGGTTTGTTACATATGTATACATGTGCCATGTTGGTGTGCTGCACCCATTAACTCATCATTTACATTAGGTATATCTCCTAATGCTATCCCTCCCCCCTCCCCCCACCCCACGACAGGCCCCGGTGTGTGATGTTCCCCTTCCTGTGTCCAAGTGTTCTCATTGTTCAGTTCCCACCTATGAATGAGAACATGCGGTGTTTGGTTTTTTGTCCTTGAGATAGTTTGCTGAGAATGATGGTTTCCAGCTTCATCCATGTCCCTACAAAGGACATGAACTCATCCTTTTTTATGGCTGCATAGTATTCCATGGTGTATCTGTGCCACATTTTCTTAATCCAGTCTATCATTGATGGAGCTTTCTTTTTCAAAGCTTTCCATGGTTAGGGAAAGTGAAAGAAAATATAGAGGCCAGGTGCAGTGGCTCACCCTGTAATCCCAGCACTTTGGGAGGCTGAGGTGAGTAGATAGCTTAAGGTCAAGAGTTTGAGACCAGCCTGGGCAACATGGTAAAACCCTGTCTCTACCAAAAATACAAAAAAATTAGCCAGGCATTTTTGTGCACACCTGTAGTCCCAGCTACTTGGGAGGTAGGAGTATCACTTGAGTCTGGGAGGCAGAGATTGCAGTGAGCCAAGATCGCACCACTGCACTCCAGCCTGGGTGACAGAGCGAGATTCTGTCTCAACATAAAAGAAAAGAAAATATAGGAATGACCAGCCTGTAAGTGTATACTTATATGCTATATAAAACAACCATAATATAGTCACACTAGAGTCTATTATACAGCAATAAAAATAAACCACATGCAATAATGTGAATGAATCTTAGTGACATAATAGTAAAAAAAGCAAGCCCCAGCAAACTACATATAGTATAGTACCCTTTCTATAAAGTTCAAAAACAAACTAAATAGTACAATATTCAGACAAATGCATATACATATAAGTTAAAAATAAAAATGAAATTCAGGGTAAGGGAAGCAATTGATGTAAGTTCCTGGTAATGTTTTAGTTCTTGGGCTTCATAGTGGATTTATGAGAGCTTGTTGTATTATTAAAGTATTACTTTAATGGAGTCACATGGATTAAAGTTCTCTGAATAGTGCCTGGTCCCCAACAGGTATTCGGCAAACATTTGTGGCATTTTATGCCGACTCAAAAGTGATAGCTGGAGGATACATTAGGAAGGACTCTTCTAGTGGCAAGTGGCAGAAATCCAGGGTAAACTGACTTAAACAACAAAAAATTGTTCAGTTAGCTGGGAGAGTCAAGGGGTGATATGAGCTTCAGTAATGGCCGGATCCCAGGCCTCAAGCAGTGTCAGCAGGATGCTGCCTCTCTGCTGTCTCTGCTTTGTTTTCTTGACTTCCTTCTCAAGCAGGCTCTCTCTCTCCATACAAGGCCACCAGGAGTCCCAGGCTTTTGCCTTCTGTGGGCTTAGTGATCATTCACTAAGTGATAGTTCTGGCAGACATCTTGATGATGTCACTGATCAGGTCTGGCTCATCTTTTGAGCTGAGATCAGGCAGGTGGAGGGGGAAGTCCTAGTCAACCCACACAGATGATTCCCCAGAGAAGAGATATTATTTTATCAGAAGAAAAATGCTGGACAAGCAAAACAACAGATATCTAGTATAGAGAAACTTCAAATTTCCCTCCTATTGAATGAGGACTATATAATGAGAATGGAAGAGATTTGAGAATCAGAAAAATCATAGTTTGAATGCAACATTTTTCTGTGTCTTTATAGATACCGGGACTACCGTGACCCGCCTCATTCACTGGTGCCCTATGGCTACACACTGCAGTTTTGGCATGTCCTAGCTGCTCGATTAGCTTTTATCATTGTCTTTGAGGTAAGTTTCCTCAGCCAAATTCTTTATTTCCTTTGACATAATGAAGTCAGTAGGAGTAATGAATAAAAATAAGTGATGGGGATTTTGAATGTGATTATCTATATTTCCAGAAGTAGTAGTGTCATATTATGTAACCTCTTTTTGATCTTTTTTCTTAATTGAAGTATTTGATTTTTCCAAGACATATTTGAAAGTCCATAGTTGGTTTTTAATGGACAAATCTGAACTCGTTGCTCCTAAATGTAATTTTCTGGGGCCATAGTTCTTAAACTTTAGCAAAAATGCAGTTTTTCCATCCTCACTCCCAGATATTCTGACATACCATGTCTGTGGCTTGTTTTTCATGAGCTCGTTGTAATGATTCTGACTATAGGCATTCTGGGACCATAATTTGGAAACATTTGGAAAACATCAGCCCAGTAAGATTCATTCTTTTTTTCTTTTTCTTTTTCAACTTTTATTTTAGATACAGTGGGTACATGTGCAAGTTTGTTACAAAGTTACATTGCATGATGTTGAGGTTTGGGGTGCGACTGAACCCACCACCCAGGTAGCGAGCATAGTATTCAATAGGTAGTTATTCAGCCCTTGTCCCCTCCCCCTCTCCCCTCTATAGTAGTCCCCAGTGTCTGTTGTTCTCATCTTTATGTCCATGTGTACCCAGTGTTTAGCTTCCACTCTAAGTACGTACAATAAGAACTTGCAGTGTTTAGTTTTCAGTTTCTACATTATTTCACTTAAGATAATGGCCTCCAGCTACATCCATGTTGCTGCAAAGGACATGGTTTCATTCTTTTTTATGGCCACATAGTATTCCATGGTGTATACATACCACATTTTCTCTATCTGGTCCACCATTGATGGGCACCCAGGTTGATTCCATGTCTTTGCTATTGTGAATAGTCCTGTGATTGACATATGAGTACATGTGTCTTTTTGGTAGAATGCTTTATTTTCTTTTGAGTATATACCCAGAAATGGGATTGCTGGGTTGAATGGTAGTTAAGCCCTTTGTTCTTTGAGAAATCTCCAGACTACACAGTAGTTGGACTAATTTACCTTTCCACCAACAGTGTGCAGGTGTCCCCTTTTCTCTGAAGCCTCGCCAGCATCTGTTAATTTGTTTACTTTTTTTTTTTTTTTTTTTTTTTTTTTAAGACTGATTCTCTCTCTGTCGCCCAGGCTGGAGTGCAATGGCACAATCTCGGCTCACTGCAACCTCTGCCTCCCAGGTTCAAGTAATTCTCTGCCTCAGCCTCCTGAGTAGGTGGGATTACAGGCACCCGCTACCACACCTGGCTAATTTTTGTATTTTTAGTGGAGACGGGGTTTCACTGTCTTGGCCAGGCTGGTCTTAACCTGACCTCATGATCCATCCGCCTTGGCCTCCCAAAGTGCTGGGATTACAGGCGTGAGCCACTGCACTTGGCCTGACTTTCTAATAAAAGCCGTACTGACTGGTGTGAGATGGTGTCTCATTGTGGTTTTGATTTGCATTTCTCTAATTTCCTTAGAGATTCTGAGCATTTTTTCATATTATTGTTGTCTGCTTCTATATCTTCTTTTGAGAAGTATCTGTTTGTGTCCTTTGACCACTTTTTAATGGGGTTATTTGTTTTTTACATGTTGATTTGTTTAAGTTCCTTACAGATTCTGGGTATTAGACCTTTATTGGGTGCATAGTTTGCAAATATTTTCTCCCATTCTGTACGGTGTCTGTTTACTTCTTTGACAGTTTCTCTTGCTGTGCAGAAGCTCTTTAATTAGATTTGACTTAGCAATTTTTGTTTTTGTTGCAATTGCTTTTCAGGACTTCACCATAAATTCTTTGCCCAGGCCAGTATTGAGAAGGGTATTTCCTAGGTTTTCTTCTAGCATTTTTATAGTTGAGGTCTTACATGTAAGTCTTTAATTCATCTTGAGTTAAATTTTGTTTATGATGATAGGTAGAAGTCCAGTTTCATTCTTCTGCATATGGATAGCCAGTTATCTCAGCACCATTTATTGAACAAGGAATCCTTCCCCCACTGCTTGTTTTTGTCAAGTTGGAGATTCACTCTTTCTAAATGTCTCCAATTATTGCCATCATCATTACCACACATATTGAAATATACTGATTCATATAGTTAATTTATGATTTTCAAATAGTTATCAGGATTTCCCAACATGATCATAAGCATTTTCCAATAGGACTGGGTATTACAAGTGGTATTTCTGGTTGTGTATCATCACGGAATTATTTATATTCAAGCATCCAAGTAAGTATTTATTAGCTAAGACTCAAAATGGAATTATAAAGTAAAATCTGTCTAGCAATTGTCTATATTATATGTCAATAAAAATATATTATCTATTTTCTTTCAGGGTTTAAGAAAATTGCTGTAAAAATAGTTTGCATTTCTATGACTCTAGTCATAAGTGGAAATTTCATCTCTTGTCACATATATTAAAGCCAGATTAATAAAAGCCAAGGTTGCCTCTCGGCTTGGATCTAAAGTTTCCTAGACCTCTTCAAGACTATTCTATCACTGCTTTTTCCTTCAGTCCAGGGAACCAAAAGAAGAAAATATTAAGCTGCTCTTCCCTGGAAATTATCTTACCAATGGCACACTCTCTCTTTAAAGAAGATATTTTTAACCCATCACTGTCTTAAAATTTTTCAGACAAAACTTCTTGTTGTTTGTTTGGGATTTTTTTATTTTAAGTTCCAGGGTACATGTGCAGGACATACAGGTTTGTTACACAGGTAAATGTGTGCCACGGTCATCTGCTGCACAGATCAACCCGTCACCCAGGTATTAAGCTCAGCATCCCTTAGCTATTCTTTCTGATGCTCTCCCTTCCCCCACCCCCACCCCCAACAGGCCCCTTTGTGTGTTGTTTCCCACCATGTGTCCATGTGTTCTCATCATTCAGCTCCCACTTATAAGTGAGAACATGTGGTATTTGGTTTTCTGTTCCTTTGTCAGTTTGCTGAGGATAACAGCTTCCAGTTCTGTCCATGTCCCTGCAAAGGACATTATCTCATCCCTTTTTATGGTTGCATAGTATTTCATGGTGTATATGTACCACATTTTTTTATCCAGCCTATCATTGATGGGCATTTGGGTTGATTCTATGCCTTTGCTATTGTGAATAGTGCTGCAATGAACATATGCATGCATGTATGTTTATAATAGAATGATTTATATTCCTTTCTAATAAGCGCCATACTGACTGGTATGAGATAATATTTCATTGTGGTTTTGATTTGCATTTCTCTAATCTCCTTAGAGATTCTGAGCATCTTTTCATATTATTTTTGGCTGCTTGTATATCTTCTTTTGAGAGGTATCTGTTTGTGTCCTTTGCCATACAAGTTATAGAATTGCTGGGTAAAATGGTATTTCTGCTTGTAAATCACTGAGGAATTGCCACACTGTCTTCCACAATGGTTGAACTAATTTATACTCCCACCAACAGTGTAAAAGTGTTCCTTTTTCTCTGAAACCTTGCCAGCATCTGTTGTTTCTGGACTTTTAAATAATCAACATTCTGACTGGTGTAAGATGGTATCTCATTGTGATTTTTATTTGCAGTTCTTTAATTATCAATAATGTTGAGCTTTTTTTCATATGTTTGTTGGCTGCATGAATGTCTTCTTTTGAAGAATGTCTGTTTATGTCTTTTGCCCACTTTTTAATGGGGTTGCTTGGTATTTTTTTTGTAGATGTGTTTAAGTTCCTTGTAGACTCTGGATATCAGACCTTTGTTAGATGGATAGATTACAAAAATGTTCTCCCATTCTATAGGTTACTGTTTGCTCTGATGATAGTTTTTTTGTGCTGTGCAGAAGTACTTTCATTTAATTAGATCCCATTTGTCAATTTTTTCTTTTGTTGCAATTGCTTTTGGTGTTTTCATCATGAAATTTTTGCCCATGCCTACATCCTGAATGGCATTGCCTAGATTTTCTTCTAGGATTTTTATAGTTTGGGGCTTTACATTTAAGTCTTTAATCCATCTTGAGTTAATTTTTATATAAGGTGTAAGGAAGGGGTTCAGTTTCGATTTTCTGCATATGGCTAGCCAGTTCTCCCAAAACCATTTATTAAGTAGGGAATCCTTTCCCCCATTGCTTGTTTTTGTCAGGTTTTTCAAAGATCAGATGGTTGTAGATGTGTGGTCTTATATCTGAGATCTCTAATCTGTTCCATTGGTCTATGTGTCTGTTTTTGTACTAGTACCATGCTGTTTTGGTTACTGTAGCCTTTTAGTATAATTTGAAGTTGGGTAGTGTGATGCTTCCAGCTTTGTTCTTTTTGCTTAGTCTTGTCTTGGCTATTTGGACTCTTTTTTGGTTCCACATGAATTTTAAAAGAGTTTCTTCTAATTCTGTGAAGAGTGTCAATGGTAGTTTAATGGGAATAGCATTGAATCTATAAATTACTTTGGGCAGATGGCCGTTTTCACAATATTGATTCTTTCTATCCATGAGCATGGAACATTTTTCCATCTGCTTGTGTCCTTTCTGATTTCCTTGAGCAGTGGTCTGTAGTTCTTGAAGAAGTCATTCACTTTTCTTGTTAGCTGTATTCCTAGGTATTTTATTCTTTTGCAGCAGTTGTGAATGGGAGTTCATCCATGATTTGGCTTTCTGCTTGCCTGTTGTTAGTGGTTAGGAATACTAATGATTTTTGCACATTGATTTTGTATCCTGAGACTCTGCTGAAGTTGCTTATCAGCTTAAGAAGCTTTTGGGCCAAGATGATGGGATTTTCTAGACACGGGATCAGGTCATCTGCAAAAAAAAGATAATTTGACTTCCTCTCTTCCTATTTGAATACCCTTTATTTATTTCTCTTGCCTGACTGCCTGGGCCAGAACTTCCAATACTGCGTTGAAAAGGAGTGGTAAGAGAGGGCATCCTTGTCTTGTGCCGGTTTTTAAGGGGAATGCTTATTGAGAATTTTTAACATGAAGGGATGTTGGATTGTTATCAAAGACCTTTTCTGCAGCTATTGAGATAATCATGTGGTTTTTGTCTTTAGTTCTGCTTATGTGATGAATTACTTATGCTTATGTGATGTTTACTGATTTGCATATGTTGAACCAACTTTTTATCCCAGGGATGAAGCCAACTTGATCATGGTAGATAAGCTTTTTGATGTGCTGCTGGATTTGGTTTGCCAGTATTGTATTGAGGCTTTTTGCATCAATGTTCATCGGGGATATTGGCCTGAAGTTTTTTTGTTGTCTCTCTGCCAGGTTTTGGTATCAGGATGACACTGGCCTCATAAATGAGTTAAGGAGGAGTCCCTCCTTTTTAATTTTTTGGAATAGTTTCCATAGAAATGGTATCAGCTCTTCATTGTACCTCTGGTAGAATTCTGCTGTAAATCTGTCAGACAAAACTTTTTAAAAGGCTGCCTTATTTGGCTTTTCAAATAGAATTTTCCATTTTCTTTTAATATTTTGTTATTAACTATTTGAAAATATGAGAACTATGCAGAAAAGCTTCTTAATTTTGTGCCATCCATGCATCACCAAATTTATCAAGTTTTAAATAAAACGAAGAATACTTAGCAGTATCATTTGAACATGATTTAGTCTCTATTTAATACTTTAGAATTGTAATAGCCCTTAAATTGTCATCTAGTACTTCCTTGGTCACCATTATATAGATGAGCAGAAGTGACAGTGACTCTAGAATTCCAGCTATTAGTATTTCAAGTAAAGAATTTGTGACTGTTTACCAAAAAGAAAAAAGCTTCTTCCTGAAATGATCATTTCCCTAGGCCCACTGATAATTCTTATAACCAAGATTTGTAAAGCACTTGACAGTCTACAAGGCATTTTTAAACATTTTCTCATAATTCTCACAATACTCACTTTATAGATGAGGGGAATGAGGCTCAGATAAATTAAATAATTCATCCTCAGGTAGACAGACAGCCCTTAAGCAGTGAAAGCTACCAGCTTCAACCTGGGTTTTCTGACTCCACAGAATACATTCTTCTGGCTCTCCTTTGAATTAATTATCTGACCATTCTTTTCCCACCTTCCTTCCAGACTCCTCTTTCTATTCCTTAGGTGGTGCCATCAGACCAGTTCAGGCCTCACCTGTCCTATCATCTTGCATTACACACGCCTCCCCTGGTCACTTTGCACTCTCCACATACCCCAGAGGGTCCACATCCTTCTTCAGCCAACTCTCTAACCTCATTCAGGATGCACAGTAGACCTGACGCTGTTACATTCTCCTCTGTTTTAGCACCTCGTGTTTTGTATAAAGCACCTCATTTCATATCTGATCCCAGACCTCCCAAAAGACCTAAGGGATCGAATGAGAAGAGAGAAGTACTTGATTCAGGAGATGATGTATGAAGCAGAACTGGAACGTCTCCAGAAGGAACGAAAGGAGAGGAAGAAGAATGGAAAAGCACACCACAACGAGTGGCCGTGACCATGTAGGTGAGAGGTGTGCTCAGCGTCTGAGGCCATTCCGAGGTTGAATGGGTGCTTTAAACTCCCTGAAGCAAAGCTTACCATTGTTGCAGTAACAGGGATCAAAATAAACTCCTTAGAAGCTTCCCAATCCAAAAGAAGCTTGTTTTTTACTTTAATCGTTGCAAATTTTGCTTGATCTTCCCCTCCCACATACCTTCTGCAACACTTCTCTGCCTTCTTGCCAGACTCTGGCCTATCAGTCAAGGTCTTCATGAATTGGCCTAGGAGTTCCCTGAAACAAAGCGTCCTCTCTCTTTTCCTCCAGCCGGGCTGTTTTCTTTAATATCCCCAGGGAAACATGCCCCTTCTTTCTAGGTGGGTGGGAGGCAGACATTAGCAAAGAGAATTCTTCCTGAAAGCCTCAGCGGCCAGAGACCAAGGTGCAACAGGGCTGTCCTGGGCTGCAGGACCAGTAACTGATGAAGAATTTCTTCTGGCCCCACCACTACTGGCTGCTTTCTTCCCAAAAAGGCCATTTCTAATTTTTGCTTGAAAGCATAGTATCTGCCTGCCTGTTTCTATTTCCCCGATAGTTGGCAGGATGTGATGTTGCTTTAGACTGCCCTTCTGACTCAGTCTGTTCACCCATAAAGCAAGCATAAAAATGTTTATACCATCCCTGACTCCATTTGGGGTTACAAATTCTTTGAATGCCTTTGGTGCATGGTAAGTACAAACTATTGCACCTCATGTTTTAAAGCAATTGTGTATGCATAAGATCTTTATGCCTTCTTTTCTCTTTCCAGAAAATAGTCCCTTTCCAGGCCAAGGACCTGAATTCTGTTTACTTCTTCTGGCTGTGCAAAAGCACACTCAAGTGAATGACTAAAAATGCAACCACAGTGCATGTTGCAGATACCGGCGGCCGCAGGAGGGGCAGCATCCAGTAGAGGACTGGCGTTGGAGTCACACTGCTGTGAAATCACGTTGCAGTCCAGCGCACAATTGCTATCTATCCATAGACCATTCTTGACCAAGCAAGCATGCACATTATGGGCAGTTACATTCTCAAGTTTTTAAAATCAAGGGGAACTTGTATACTGGGCCTGTTTTTCAGCCTGTTTGCTACCTTTTTTGCATTCTATCCCATGTGAATTTTACAGACACTGGGCTAAAAAGGGTATTCAGACACATGGACACACATTCCTAGAATGTCATCATATGGTCCTAATTCCATGTCACCAACAACACAGACAAGACCCTGTTTACAACTTTTTCTTTCCTTTTTTTTAATTTTAGACCTTTCTGAGAAGATTATTATATATGACATATCTATAGCTATGTGTATGGCCATAGATGTATTTCTGTGTGTACATATGTATAGTCATGTATTCCTGCATATGTACATACAAATACAGAGATATATAAAGTACATAGAAATTCCTTACTTGTAAATAGCCAAAAAGTACTGACATGAGTGAATTTTCACATTTAAATAGTCATCAATATGAAGCCATGATTAATGCTTGTATAATGTGATGCAATAAAATTTAAAATAAATTTCTGCACATGGAATATTTTCAGCTGGCTCTTCTGACATTCTGTTGTATTTTTGTCTCATAGAATAAGAGAAATCACAGAATAAGTAAGTGGAATCTTTAATGTGAGGAGAATATCTGAGGGACTGTGCAAGAAATCAGATGTTTGTTTATTGCATAAATGCATGCAAAAACAAACAATATAGCCAAATATCAGCGTATGTTTCTGATGAACTTTTTTCCCCAGTCTTGATGGTGGAATATTTTAAATATAAGCCAAAATGAATATGCCGTAATTTGAGGATTTGATAATCTACCCAATTTTATAAGTCCTCATAAGACTAGAATATTAGAAATATCCTACTTCAACACTATAATCTTCATTAAAACCTCAGTTGTCTGCAATTAACAATTGCAAAAATACAGAACCAACCTAAGTGCCCATCAACCAAGGAGTGGATAAAGAAAATGTAGTATATAGCCGGGCACGGTGGCTCACGCCTATAATTCCAGCACTTTGGGAGGCCGAGGCGGGTGGATCACGAAGTCAGGAGATTGAGACGATCCTGGCTAACACGGTGAAACCCTGTCTCTACTAAAAATACAAAAAAATTAGCTGGGCGTGGTGGTGGGTGCCTGTAGTCCCAGCTACTAGGGAGGCTGAGTCAGGAGAATGGCATGAACCCGGGTGGTGGAGCTTGCAGTGAGCGGAGATCGCGCTGCTGCACTCCAGCCTGGGCAACAGAGCGAGACTCTGTCTCAAAAAAAAAAAAAAAAGAAAAAGAAAGAAAATAGTATATATACCATGGAATACTACTTAGCCATAAACAGGAACAAAGTAATGTCTTTTGCAGCAATTTGGTTGGAGCTGGAGGCCATTATTGTAAGTAAGTGAAGTAACTCAGGAATGGAAAACCAAATATCATATGGTCTCACTTATAAGTGGGAGCTAAGCTATGAGGATGCAAAGGTATAAGAATAATATAATGGACTTTGCGGACTCCAGGGGAAACGGTGGAAGGAGGGTGAGTGAAAAAAGACTGCATATTGGGCACAGTATACACTGTGTGGGTAACAGGTGCACCAGAATCTCAGAAATCACCATTAATGAACTTACCTATGTAACCAAAAACCACCTGTACCCAAAAAAACTATTAAGATAAAAATTTTTTTAAAGTTTTTTTAAAAAACCTCTGTTGTCTGAATCACTCACTCAGGAATGTAGTGATTCCAAACAGTTATCCAAATAGTTAGCAACCAGGCTGGGCTTGGTGGCTCATGCCTGTAATCCCAGCACTTTGGGAGGCCAAGGTGGGTGATTTGAGGTCAGGAGTTCGAGACTGGCCTGCCCAACATGGTGAAACCCTGCCTCTACTAAAAATACAAAAATTAGCCAGGTGTGGTGGCAGGTACCTGTAGTCTCAGCTACTTGGGAGGCTGAGGCAGGAGAATCACTTGAACCCAGGAGTTGGAGGTTGCAGTGAGCCGAGATCGCGCCATTGTACTCCTGCATGGGTGACAGAGTGAGACTGTCTCAAAACAAAACAAGACAAAACAAAAAGCAAGCAGGGTTAACTTTTAAACTGGCAAAATAATATGCTGCTTGATTTTTTGAAGTGGAAACCTGTCTATAAATGCCATATACTTTCCAGATTTCTTGTACGAAGGAAATCATATCCTTCCATTGATAATTCAGTGGCATCACTGTAAAACTCCAACCTTTCTACAAATGTGTCTCCCAAGTCTTGTCCCCTGGGATCCCCTAAAGCCTCACATTGCACAATCTGCCCTACTCACTCAGACTCTTTCCCCTGTGCAGTATTCCTCACCTAGGACATGCATATCCTTCTTATAGCCCCAGATAGCTTGTAAATGACTGTATTAGTCTGTTCTCATGCTGCTAATAAAGACATACCCGAAACTGGGTAATTTATAAAGGAAAGAGGTTTAATTGACTCACAGGTCCACATGGCTGGGGAGGCCTCATGATCATGGCAGAAGGCAAATGAGGAGCAAAGTCACATCTTACATGATGACAGGCAAGAGAGCTTGTGCAGGGGAACTGCCCTTTATAAAACCATTAGATTTCGTGAGACTAATTCACTACCATGAGAACAATACGGGGGAAACCGCCCCCATGATTCAGTTATCTCCACCTGGCCGTGCCCTTGACACGTGGGGATTATCACAATTCAGGGTGAGATTTGGGTGGGGACACAACCAAACCATATCAGTGACAGAGGGCGAGAAACCCACCTTCCCCTTCCCCATTGCCCAACAGAGTGTGATGCCTTTACGCAAGTTTTTTCAGTGCTTTTTTTTTTTTTTTTTTTGAGACGGAGTCTTGCTCTGTCGCCCAGGTTGGAGTGCAGTGGCGCGATCTCAGCTCACTGCAAGCTCCGCCTCCCGGGTTGACACCATTCTCCTGCCTCAGCCTCCCGAGTAGCTGGGACTACAGGCGCCTGCCACCACGCCCGGCTAATTTTTTGTATTTTTAGTAGAGACGAGGTTTCACCGTGTTAGCCAGGATGATCTCGATCTCCTGACCTCCTGATCCACCCGTCTTGGCCTCCCAAAGTGCTGGGATTACAGGCGTGAGCCACCGCGCCCGGCCTTTCAGTGCTTCTTAAAATAAATGACTCTAAAAGGGAGACAGTAACATGCAATCAATTTAAACTCACTTTCCTGTAACTATATATTTCAACGTGAAAGAATTAAGGGTAGGACCTCAACTTCATACAATCCTGTACTCTAGAGAAGGAGTTAACGCTACTCAGATCACATGTGATATGTAAGTGCCAGTTACTGTTTTCCCAAAACAGACATTGAGTAATTTCCCAAGTTGCCCATTGACTGTCAGCATTTAGACACCAATTTTATAATATTTTCAACAAAAAAAAAAATTAAAGAAGACTTGCTTAACAACCCTTTTAGTGGTTAAAACCACATGAGTGGTTTTAAATACCTAACTGTTCAATTTAGATTCCACTAATCCCCTGGCAGGGAAGAGTAAATAGTAAAGCTGTTACCAGTGGGTCGCAGCTTGCATACACATTAGCCCCCAAGGAGGCAATCTTGAACCTTCATTAATTCAGACCTTCCTAATTAGGAAGTTGTGATCATTTGGATAGCCTGAGGTCCGTTATGTAAAACAAGTTCTATGAACAAAGTAAAGGAAATAGTCCAATCGTGTGTGTGTGTGTGTGTGTGTGTGTGTGTGTGTGTGTGTGTGTGTGTGTGTGTGATGGAGTTTTGCTCTTGTTGGCCAGGCTGGAGTGCAGTGGCGCGATTGATCTCGGCTCACTGCAACCTCCGCCTCCCAGGTTCAAGCGATTCTTTTGCCTCAGCCTCCCGAGTAGCTGGGAGTACAGGCACCTGCCACCAAGCCTGGCTAGTTTTTTTGTATTTTAAGTAGAGACGGGGTTTCATCATGTTGGCCAGGCTGGTCTCGAAGTCCTGACCTCAGGTGATATGCCCGTCTCTGCCTCCCAAAGTGCTGGGATTGCAGGTGTGAGCCACTGCGTGTGGCCTCAATCATTTTTTAATATTTATTACTATTTTGCTTATTAACACAAACTTCAAAAACTTGTACTCAGGGATGTATTCCTAGATATTAAAAGCATAAAATAAAACGAAGTGTTTGCTTTGGGGTGTGAGTGAGAAGGGATAAACAGGCATCCAAGGTGCTGGCAATGTACTATTTCTTGACTTGAGTAGTCATTTTACAAATAGTTTTTAAAAGAATCATTTATTTAACATTTATTTGCTAATTATAAACCCAATTTTTATTTTTTCCTACTAATTTTCATGTAGTCCAGTATTCCTCAAACTCTACCATACATTAGAATCACCTGGGCCCTACCACCACCACCGTTTCTGATTCAGTAAGTATATGGTGGACCAGGAAATTTCAATTTTGATAAAGTACCTAGATGATGTTGTTTCTATTGGGTGGGGGCCACATTCTGCAAACTACTGATCTAATCAATATCTTATGGCCATAATTTGAATCACTTTAATATACTCTACAATTCAAGCTGAGTTTAATTCATTTTATCTGATTGTATAATATTTTAGTGAACTACCACCCTGGTAGAAAGGCAGGTGGGCAGCAATGTCAAACTGTAATCTTAGTTACAGTAGCAATTATCAGTTAATCATATCATTCAATACAGATCACTGCTGTGCAGGCCTCCCAGCTGAGTGGAGCATAGGGTGTTTCTTTTGTTTTGTTTTGTTTTATTATACTTTAAGTTTTAGGGTACAGGTGCACAACGTGCAGGTTAGTTACATATGTATACATGTGCCATATTGGTGTGCTGCACCCAGTAACTCATCATTTAACATTAGGTATATCTCCAAATGCTATCCCTCCCCCCTTCCCCCACCCCACAACAGGCCCCAGTGTGAGATGTTCCCCTTCCTGTGTCCATGTGTTCTCATTGTTCAATTCCCACCTATGAGTGAGAATATGCGGTGTTTGGTTTTTTGTCCTTGCGATAGTTTGCTCAGAATGATGGTTTCCAGCTTCATCCGTGTCCCTACAAAGGACATGAACTCATCTTGATGGATTGGGTCAGTGCCACACAAAGGTCCTTCACCTTGGCCTGCATTTTGCATTAACCCAGAACACTGAGAATAACTCTTCCCAAGTCCAACCAGCACCCTCGCCAGTTTAGGACTGAGTTTACATCACCATGTACAATAGAGAAACTCTATTCTGATTATGGGCTCTGGAGTCAGACAAAACTAAGTTTGGATCCAAGGTGTAAGACAAAGGACTTAAGTTTTCTAAGATATAGTTGCTTCATGGGGTGGACACCATGGTATGCTGCCAAGGTCCCTCTTCAATGAAAGATGTCTTGCCCAAGCTTTTGGGAGTGCTGTTGGTAGACTCCCTCCAGCTGTCAGGCTCCTCAAGACTGTTTCATTGCAGAGGGTCACCTGATCCAAGACCTGCCCCTTTCTGTGGCAGCCCATGTCAATGACTAATCGATGCATGAATACGAAAGCCTGGCAATATTAGGACAACTGTGAAGGGCTCCCTCACTTCAGTGCTCTCTGTGGGGAGACTCTGCTTGAACCTGCATTGTAGCTCAACCTCCACCTCTACCCAAACCTGCTTCCTTCTTCTTTCTTCCATAGATATTGATCCTAAATAAATGCTAAGCACACTACCCTCCCTATTAGAGTCTGCTTCCCAGGGAATCAAGCCTGCAACATTAATTTTTTTAAAAAAGTGGACAAAAACTCTAAGATGTGGGAATCCTATGGATTCGTTCATTCATTAAATATTTATTGAGCCAGCCAGTTCTGTTCTGGATGCTAAGAATACAGCAGTGAACACAGGTGTCTAACTTGAAGGGAAACAATTAGGAAGAGCATTAAGGTTGAAATCAATCATTAGGTACAGTATTGATTGACTATTTGATATAAAAAGAGAATAAAAGAATAGTGTCTCTTCCTCTCATCACCACTCCCCATCCGCCTTTTTAAAATTGCCTCAGTTTATAATATTCATGTTCTATTCTGCAACCACAGATTCTTGATTTCCTAAGCATGTCTCAGCCTGATTGAGCTTTACTGCCATGCAGGTTTCCTTCCCTACCTCCATGCTGCCCTTGGGAGCTTGAAAGTCATTATACTGTTTTTCCACTACCATGGGTGGTGGAAAATTGTGAGGCTGTTTAGAGACCTATTCCCCTGGATACTTCAGGCAGCAATTTCTTCTTTTAATGCTCACCAAACATGGTAAAGTCTCTCTAACTTTCCAAAGCCCTATGTTTGCTTAGAAACACCACTCAGCTGTGTCTTTCCTGGGGTCTTGTGACTGTAAGCTCTATCCAAAAGATGGGGAACAGATTTTGTCAGCTTTTAAATTCCACAAATCGATGGTGGTTTGCTGCCACCATCCCAGAGCTCAGCATATGGTGTTAGGACACAAAGAACCAATGGGGATATAGGCCTCAGAGACTTGATAATACATTGGTGCTCACCTGTTCCCTCCAACTTTCCCAGCACAGGAAATCCATTTCCAGTTTGGGGTTGGGAAACCTAGCTCCTACCACCCAAGCTGTTTTATTATTGTCAACATAAGAGGCTAGACTTTGGATCATTGGTTAATGCTCCGAATATCCCACCACTATACTTTCCTCTGAACCCTCTCACACTCTTCTCTGGTTGATCACTTCCCTTGTAGACTCCCTTTCCACCTCATTGGGCCAGACCCTTGCCTCTCCAAAGGCATATAAAGCAAGGCATTCCTTGAATCTCTCCTACCATTTATTTTCAGTCTTGCTCTTCCTGGGTATCCTGGCTTCCACCCAGTGTTATATAATGATGCCATCCTTGGTTTGAGCAAAAAGGCAGAACTATGCATTTATCTCTCCTCTTAACTTTCCACCTCTCTCATCTGTTTCCTTTTTTTCTCTGTCCACTTCCACAACTGGTCCTGTTATAAATTGCACTGTATTTTGTATGTCTTATTTACTAAAATGTCATGTTTCTACTGCGACTTAAATGGATGAATAGGAGGCTTTATATTTCTGTACTTCAAAAGTCCCATTATATTTTACTTCTGTGACTTTTCTCTGTAACTCAGAGAACTTCAATTAAAAAAAAAACCTCTCCAACCCAAAGAATGGGGAAAAAAAGGCTTGCAAATTATGTATCTAAGGGGATTATATCTTAAATATATTAATTGCAAGTCTTAAACATAAGACTTCTGAGAACTCTTACAACTCAATAATTAACAAAAACAAATAAGCCAATTTAAAAATGGGCAAAGGATTTGATTAGACATGTCTCCAAAGAAGATATACAAATGGCCAATAAACATGACAAGATGGTCAATATCATTAGCCATCAGGGAAATGCAAATCAAAGTCACAATGAGATACCACTTCACATGCATTAGAATGGCCAAAATAAAATATACAGATAATAAGTGTTGTCCAGGATATGGAGAAATTGGAACCCTCATACACTGTTGATAGGAATGTTAAATGGTGCAGCTGCTTTGGAAAATAGTCTGGCAGTTCCCAAAATGGTTAAGCATAGAATTACCATATGACCCAGCCATTCCACTGCTAAATATATCTCCCAAAGAACTGAAAACATATGCTCGCATAGAAACTTGTACACAAATGTTCAGAGCAACATGTTTCTTAATAACCAATAAGTGGAAACAACACAAATGTTCATCAACTGATTCATGCATAAATAAAATATAGGATAGCCATACAATGGAATACAATCATATGTCACTTAACAATTGGGATACATTCTAAGAATTTAATCATTGAGTAATTTTATCATTGTGTGAACATCATAGAGTGTACTTACACAAACTTAGATGGTATAGCCTACTACACACTTAGGCTATATGCTATATAGCCGGCTGTCCCTAGGATACAAACGTGTATAGCATGTTACTATACTGAATACTGTAGGCAACTATAACACAATGGTAAATATGTGTGTACCTAAACACAGAAAAGGTAATGAGTTGCTTTATGACTGTATGATATTACAACGGCTGTGATGTCACTAGGCAATAGGAATTTTTCAACTGCATTATAATCTTATGGGACCACTGTCAAGTGTGAGGTCTGTCATTGACCAAAAGGTCATTATGTGGTGCATGATTTTATTAGGCCATAAAAATGAATGAAATACTGATACATGCTACATAGATAAACCTTGAAAACATTATGCTACATGAAAGGAGCCAATCACAGAGGACCACATAGAATGTAATTTTATGTATATGAAGTGTTCAGAATAGACAAATCTACAGAGACAGAAAGTAGATTAGTGGTTGCCTAGGGCTAAAGGGAGTGAATGGGACAAAATGGAGACTGAATACAAATGGATATGGGGTTTCTTCTGGGGGTAATGAAAATTTTCTAAGATTGTGGTGATAATTGTACAACTCTGTAAATACAAAAACCATTGAGTTGCACATAAATGAGTGAGTTGTATGGCATGTTAATTATGTCTCAGTAAAGCTATTATGCAAAACCAAAAATCTCTCACTGTCCTCCAGCTTTCATGTGTTCCGCTTATATTATTGTATTTTGCATGTTGCTTTGAAATTGCCATGTGTGATGGATAGCTCCTCATACCTCCACAACCCAGGACTGAACAAGTTAAAAGAATCATAACAGAGAGCTAGACTTTCCTGGCTGCTACAAAACCATTGAAATTCTGGGTAAAATGTCACAAAATAAACATTTTAATGCATAGTCAAATTTATAAGAATAAAAGAAAAGCTCCAATCCCAGAATTGAAAAGGAAATCAAAGCAAAGAAATGAAGCCAGGAGATGTTGAGGAATAAGTGCAGGTGTAGATCTGCTGAGTTCTTATGTTTTCATGGGAGGAAAAATGAGGTTTCTGCCTACAGAATGTAAAGAAGCTAGAACTTGATTCCAGGTATCATCAAAAGCCTGATATCTTAAAGAACTGCCTGATCACTTAAAAGGGGATTTTTAAAAGCATACCAAAAGCCTTAATTAAATATTAAGAAAGTTTGCTTCTAGCCAACTCTTTGGATGGAAAACAAACAAAAGTTACTTGAGGCATCAAAATTTAAGCCCTGTGCTTAAGTTTTGTGCCATGGGTCTAGGATGCAAATTTATATTACGAACCTAAGAGAAAAGCCCTAACCTGAGATGATAATGTAAAATTGTTTGAAGGCCATTGAAACAACTAGGACACAGCAAAATCTAATTTGAAACTATGTAGGGACTCTTTCATTAACCACAGCCCAAGGAACTGTCACTAGAAAAAATGCAGCCTCTTCTGAAGATAAACTCCCAGATAAAAAAGATCAACTACATAAGAAAAGGAACCACCAAGACAGAGAGTGTGCAAATGAACAAATAAAAGAACTAGCACCCCACTAACTTCAGATAATATAACAAAATTAAGGGGTCATAAATATGGTTAAAATTATTGGAGTAATAAAATAATGATTGAAAATAATAATGAAAAAATCCAATATTATGAATTAAAGAATAGCAAATTTTGAAAAAGAAGCATATCCAACTCTAGAAATGAAAAAAAGTTAAGTCACTGAAATGGAGAACTGTATGGACAAATTAATAGCAGATTAGAAACAGCTGGGAAGGGGAATGAAAGAAAATATCTGAGAAAATTGTCCAGGATGCATCACATAAATACAAAAAGATGGAAAAGATGAACCAAATTAGGAGATACGAAGGACAGGATTTAAAAGGTACAACATACAACTAACAGGAATTAAAGAGGTACAGAATAGAAAAAATATGGGAAAGGGGAAATATTCAGACATAATACCAAAAATATTTCCAATATTAAAGGTATGATTCTACATTGAAGAAACAAAAGTCCCAAGGAGGAAATAAAAACAAATTCATACCTAGACTCATTGTGGCAAAACTAGAGAAAAAGCACAATAAGGAGTAAATTTTAAATGCTTTCACAAAGAAAAGAGAGATTACAGTTGCCCCTTGGAACAACACAGGTTTGAACTGGAAGGTTCCACTTTTACATGGATTTTTTTTCAAATGAATGCAGATCGAAAATATACCAAAAATGAAGTATTTGCAGGAGGTGAAACTTGCATATATGGAGAGTCAACTTTTTGTATACACGAGTTCTGCAGGGCTGAATACAGGACTTGAGTATATGCAAATTTTGGTTACGTTGGGAGACCTAGAACCAATTATCCACATATATCAAAGGCTACTGTATCTCCAAGGGATAACAACTAGGCAGACAGCAAACATCTCAACATCAGGAATAGATACTAAAAGATAATGGAAGAATATTTAAAAATGTTGGGTGAACTCTCAAACTAAAATTTGTTAACCAGATAAATTGTCATATGAGAGTTAATCTAATATTTTCAGATTAACAAATGTTCTGAAAAATTTAGCAGAAAATTTGAAGTTTCTGGAAAATATGTCAGAAAAATAATATTAACAAAAACTGCAATTACTTTTGTACCAACCTAATAAAAGAAAATTAGTAAGACACTCAAATACCTTCCCTTCCCACAAATAATCAGCTACTAATAGTCTATGGAACCCCAACATGAATAAAACAATAGTAGAAGGAGAAGGAGATGAGGACAATGATGAAGAAGGAGCAGAAGAAGGAGAAGAAAAGGATAAATGGAATGGTTACAAATTGATTATGATTTTAGTATCACTAATAACTCACAGATTTAATTTATTTTATTTTTAAGAACTTTCCTAGGTTGAGAATTGCTGCTGGAACCCAATAGGTCTGAAACTGAGCATCCTATCCTACACCAAGTTTTTTATGGTAACTACCTTTTGAATGGCTCCATGTCCACCCAAAATGCTTAAGCAGAAAAACATAAGTAATTTCTGACATCTTTCTTTCCAATAATGTACCAAGTCCTGTCAATTCAATCCTCTCACATGTATCTATCTTTCTTCATCCTCATTACCACCATCATAATCTAGGCCACCATTTTCTCTCACAAAGACTACAACACAGACTCCTAAATAGTCTCCTGATCCTCAGGCATACTCCCTTCCACCCATCCATTCTTCACTTTATAGCTATGGTGAACTGAACTTTCAGAAATCCAAATTTGATCATATCGTACGTCTCTTCCTACAACTCTTCAGTGGTTTCTTATCCCCATAAGGATAAAGTCTAAAACCTCAAGCATGACTTCCCATAGTCTGGCTGGTGCCCATGTTATCATTCACTCTACCCTATATACATACTCTTCTTATGCACCATGATCCCTCAGTCCTCTAGGCTTTAGAACATGTGGTTCCCTTTGCCTAAACCACTTCTTCTTTTCCTTTCCTTTGCTTAGCTAATGACTATACATCTTTCAAATCTGAGCTTATTCCTCATCTAGTCAGGAAAGTATTCTATAGCTGGATTTGGTCCCTTTTTGTCCATCCCTGTTACTCCCTCGTTGATACTTATGTCACTTAGCACGTGTTTGGATTATAGCACATGCAATGCTCCAATTGCAATACTTACCACACTGTAACAGTGAAACAGCAAAAGAACTAACATATATAACTCCATTTTTGTTTAAGGAGCCTTTACCCATTCCTGCATGTAGGTTAGGATCATTTTAGAGCAGTGAGATAATATGCTGAATTAGTCCGTTCTCGCATTGCTATTAAATGTAAGAAACTACCTGAGACTGGGTAATTTATAAAGCAAAGAGGTTTAATTGGCTCATGATTCTGCAGGCTGTACAGAAAGCATGGCTGAGGAGGCCTCAGGAAACTTACAATCATGGCAGAAGGCAAAGAGGAAGGAGGCACATCTTACATGGCTGGAGCAGGAGGCAAAAGAGCAAAAGGGGAGGTGCTACACACTTCTAAACAACCGGATCTCATGAGAACTCATTCATTATCACAAGAACAGCAATGGGGAAGTCGGCCTCATGATCCAATCAACTTCCAGCAGGCCTCTTCTCCAACAGTAGGGATTACAATTCCACATGAAATTTGAGTGGGGACATAAATACAAACCATATCATATGCAAAGAAACAATCATGTAGTTTTTGAAACTAACTCTGTGATTAAAGGGAAAGTATGTAAACAACTATGTTTTGTTAAATATTTATAAGAGCATTGTGACCTGACCAAGGAAATAGAAGTTCTCAACCTCCTCAGACCCTTGTTGGTGCCCAGATGTCTGCAGTTGTCAGTCACCTCTTGATCCCACCCACCTTTCCTTCCCCCTGTTCTTAACATAAAAATAATCTGCAATTTGTACTGACTTAAGATGGTACTTTAGGACAACAGTTTATCATCTTCTTGGTCTGCTGGTTCTCCAAATAAACCTGCGTTTCCTCCCACCAACTCTCTTCTCTCTTTATTTTAGTTTTCAAGTGGCGAGCAGGCACATCTGTGTTCAGGTTACAACACTTTACTGTAACTACTTGTATTTTGCCCATTTTCTGTATTAGACAATAAACTCAGTGATGGTAGAGATGAGTCTCTTATTTATTACAATATTACTAATATTATTGGTAATGGATGATTGGAAGACATGACTAACTACAAGTCAACAAAGTTTCCCTAACACTAAATCTGAGAATTACACATATCTAGTCACCGGCTGGTGTCAAGACCCCAAGCATCCCTATGGAAGCAGGCTATTTTTATCACTAACCCTTATCTCATGACCAAAAGCATGTATTCCAATTTGTATTGAGTGCCTTCCATGTTCTACATCTGCTAGAGAAATTACTAAACAGAACCAGCAAAAATCCTCACCTCTTGGAGTTTTTATTTTATTGGGGAATGACATACAACAAACAAGTAAAATATTGTGTGTTCAATGATAATAGAGATGGGAGAGAAATAAAGCAAGCAAGGGGGATAGGGTGCATGGCGGAGGAAAGTTGCAATTTTAAATAGAGATCAGAGAATACCTCACCTAGAAGATGACATCTGAATAAAGACCTGTAGGAGCTGAAAGAGTGAGCCAAATGGATATTGAGTAGGGTGTTGTAAGCAATGCACATGACCGTGAGGTGGGAACATGTTTTTAAGGAATGGCAAGACCTGGCATGGAGTAATAGAGGTCAAAGAGATCATGGGAGCAAGGAGTTGTAAGGCATAGATCATGCATATTCTTTAAGCAGGCAGATGCCAAAAAGAAATGGAAGTGGAAAGGACTAAGATATACATGTCTGATTCCTCTCTCAGACTTACTGATCACAAAAGTCACTTCCTGTTTACATAGGGAGAATAAGCAGGAAAGGGGCAGAGAGAGATCCAGAAAGTTACTCTAATGGACAGTTCATCCACCTGGATGGAAACATCAGGAATAGAGACTATGTGCCACCTAAGAGATAGCTGTGTACATTAATACATGTACAGTACAACAAAATGACTAGAGCCGGAGGTAAGTATAAGATCACGATCACCCATGGAATGTGTCAAGAGTTAGAGAAGTGATAGGTAAGCTGGGTTCTAACAACTGAGCAGGTGTTTTTCAAAGATCTGAGAAGTAGACAGAGGATGGGTAGCCTAGACAAAGAGGATAGCATGTAAAATAACAAGAAGGCAAGAAAATGGTGGTATATTTAGCACATATGAGAAGCTCAATGTGACAAGCCTATGTAACATGTGAAGGAGGGTACCAATAAATACTTCTGAGAAGCCCATCAGGCTAAGGGATGGGGCTTTTATTCTGTAGTCATAGAGATCTTCAAGCAGAGGAGTGAATCATCAGATTCGGTTTCCAAAGAGACAACTGTGGACTGGAACAGTAGTTTCCAAAGTGTGACTCCCAGACCAGAAGCACCATCATCCTCAGGAAAATTTTGAGAAAGGTAAATTCTCAGGACCCACCTGAGAGCTGTTAAATCAGACACTCTGGGGTGAAGCCCAGCAATCTGTGTTTTAACCAGCTCCTCCAGGTGCTTCTGATGAACACTGAAGTTTAAGAAGCTCTAGAATAGAATGAGAAAAGCCCAGTGACAGACCAGATCCTAATACAGAAGAGAATAAAGGTCTGGCTTTGGAAAGTTAAGGAAAGCAGAAATGGAGAGAATCCTGAATCCTTGATGCACATGTGTGAGTGAGTCTGGAGCTCCAGGAGTGAATCCCATCCATTGATATCCAATGACCTTTGGTGGTGCAGCCTAAACAAGGGTAAGGGGTAAAAGAAGCCTTTTTAAATGAGGAAGGGAATAACAATACATGATTGCAAAATGGGAATGAGTAACAAAGTCAACAACTTCAAAATATTCTTTCTTTGATGAATTTAAATGATGGAGACCTGATTTGACCTTTAAAGTGAAAGGTTATGCCAAATTTCCTGTATATGGAAAATCTGCATTTTGCTTAATCAAGACTTGAATAGGTAGGAAGTAAGTAGGTGCTTTAAATGAGATGACAGACAGGTGCTTTAACTGAGAGAAGTGGAAACTTCACACTAGGGGGAACACTGGCAACTGCTTCTTTGATGATGTGGTTCCAAATTGGGTGATTGAGTATAAACATGGTCATCTTTGGCACCTAAGTTCTCTGTCTTAGTTGTCCACTTAATTTTATACCCCACAAGCAAAACTATAGCTTTGAGATATAAAATAGAAATTTAAAACTTCAAACTGATATTTTTTCAAAAGAAAGAAAAAACACTCAGGTTAAGAACTTCTGTTTCTCTTTTAAAGTCCTGATATTATCAACAATTAACTTGGACCAACTTTTAAAAGATTAAATTACCCCAATTAAAAATTGGATTGGAACAACTATTGGGTATCTGCCTAAAGGAAAAGAAGTCACTATGTCAAAAAGACACCTGTATGCACATGTTTATCGCAGCACGATTCACAATTGCAAGGATATGGAATCAACCTAAGTGCCTATCAACTGATGAGTGGATAAAAAATGTGAGTATATATATGAAATGTGAGATATATATATATATATATGTATATACATACACATACACCATGGAGTACTACTCAGGGATAAAAAAGAATGAAATAATGTCTATTGCAGCAACTTAGATGGAACCGGAGGCTATTATTCTAAGTGACATAAGTCAGGAATGGAAAAGCAAATACCACATGTTTTCATTTGTAAGTGGGAGCTAAGCTATGAGTACACAAAGGCATACAGAGTGGTATAATGGACATTAGAGACTCAGAAGGTGGGGAGGCTGAGGAAGAGGAATGAAAAACTATCTATTGGGCACCATGTACACTACTCAGGTGACCAGTGCACTGAACCTTCACACTTCACCACTATACGATTCACCCATGTAACCAAAAACTGTACCTCTAAAGCTATTAAAATAAAACGTTTTATAATGTATTGGGACAGAAAAGTTTGTACTTTTTTGTACTTTTTATTTTTCAATACGGTGTTAATTCATTAAAAATAAAATAGTCTTCTGTGACAAAAATTCTACATGTTTATACTTTTTGTAATCTACAGACAGCACTTAGGAATAGTCCTTTATGTTGTAAATAGGGTGGAAGTATCTTTTTGTAAAGGCTGATAAAATTAACTGTATTCAATTTGACATTTATCCCCCCAAAACAGACAACTGCAAAGAAACTTGCAGGGAGTTTAATCAGCAAGTTGAAAATTCAGATTCACAACCATGTTTTTACATTGAAATGTTCAACTTTCTCAAGGATTTCATAAACAATAAGCTCAAAACTTAGAAAAGCATACAGTGAATTTTCAGTAACTAAATGCTCATGTACTCAATAAACTCTTTGTCTTTATGGAAAAACTCAGAATTTCCTATAAGAATCAATACAGAGTTACTTCCGCCATCTCAACCCCCTCCCTGTTCCTTGTATTTATATCCTGGACGCTCAGTTGAAAAAAAATTCAAAATCTTTACATGTATGTATTTAATATTTCCTTCATCCTAATGTGTGTCAATATTAGAAGGCATGTGGAGAATCTAAACTGTCCTAAGACTTCTTTAAATAATTATTCACAATTCTATGGTCCTTAATAATTTCATAATGCTGTGAAAATACATGGTCATTGTTCTGCATCATAATATTAGATATGCCAGTGGCATTTTCATCCTTACCTGTAGATGAGAACATTCAGATAGAATTTTCAGGCTGTTTCCCTATAGAAACACAACCAGGCTGTGTGACTTCAAGAAAATCAACCTTATTCTCCAGGGCAAGGTTTCTCCAACTCTACACTATGGACATCTTAGGCTGGATAATTTTTTGTTGTGGAGGAGGAGAGCACCCTTGCAGGCCTCAGGAGATGTTTACCAGTTTCCCTAAATTCTACCTACTAGATACCACTAGTGCCATCCAAAAATGTCTCCAGACATTTCCAAATATCCCCTGAGAGGCAAAATTGTCCCCTTTGAGAACCAATGATCTGGAGAGAAAATGATTGCATAAGCAACTAATAAGATGAATGTGAATTTATGCTGTTTTACATCTTTCCTATAAAATTTTCATTTTCTATGGGGTGAATATTACTGACATATATATATTATATATGTCAAAAATATATATGTATTTTTTGAGATGGAATCTCGCTCTGTTGCCCAGGCTGGAGTGCAGTGGTGTGATCTCGGCTCACCACAACCTCCACCTCCCAGGTTCAAGCGATTCTCCTGCCTCAGCCTCCCGAGTAGCTGGGACTACAGGTGTGTGCCACCATGCCCAGCTAATTTTTGTATTTTTAGTAGAGACGGGGTTTCACTATGTTGGCCAGGCTGGTCTCGAACTCCTGACCTCATGATCCACCCACCTCAGCCTCCCGAATCATATTTTTCTTTAAAGTTTACACTCCCTCTGTTGGAATAATCCTGCTGACTCCTAAATATATTTTACTATTTCCATGACACACATTTTTAAGAGAAGGCACTATCTCTACATCATGATATTGCAAATTAACAGCTCTATTTTTTAAAACTGGCAAATGACTTTTGTCTCAAACTTTGATTCCCAATCATATTGAAATATTAAGTAACACTATTTGAGTTAGTAAAGTGCTATTCTGCCAAAGAACTCAACCTGATCTTTTCTACTGACATTATTTCTGTGAGGTAGGTAGGAGCTTAGTGCTATGTACCATTGTTAGAGGAGATTAGGGGTCAATTTAAGGGTATACAACTTGTCAACAGCAAAACAGACATTGACAACTTGTATGGTTTTTCCCCCACTGGTGTTTTTGTCATTCAAATAACTAAGAGTAGCAGATTATGTAATTTAAGTGACAATGGATTAACATTTAACCCTTATTTGGTTTTATCTAAAAATTTAGAAATTAAGATAAATTATTTTGAGCTAATACTGTTACATTGCTTTCTTAAGAATTCTATCAGGCATTCTCCTGTGTTTATAAAACTAAAATATTGATAGTTCTAAATGTCACAAAAATATATTCTGTCTAAAGGAAAGTGAACAAGAATGGAAACATCATGTTTCTCATTAAGAATACATGGCGTAACTCCCTGGCAATCAGGTAAGACAAAAAAATGGCCTGACTTTGATTTCCAAAATTGAAGCATTTTACACACATATGCATTTAGAATTATTAAACAAATAACCATAGTTCAAAACACATTCATGTAAAACAAACATATCTTTCTACTTATTAAAACATTGTAGAAAGACTTCCCTAAATTTGATATTTGCTTACAAATACAGTGATTTAAAAATAACATATATCGAATCTGGCCACTGGGCCAAGGAATGCCCACAGCCTGGGATTCCTCCTAAGCCATGTCCCATCTGTGTGGGACCCCACTGAAAATCGGACTGTTCAACTCACCTGGCAGCCACTCCCAGAGGCCCTGGAACTCTGGCCCAAGGCTCTCTGACTGACTCCTTCCCAGATCTTCTCGGCTTAGCGGCTGAAGACGGACACTGCCCGATCGCCTCAGAAGCCCCCTAGACCATCACGGACGCCGAGCTTTAAGTAACTCTCACAGTGGAAGAAAAGAAGGAATACCGGGGGAGGAGCCAAGATGGCCAAATAGGAACAGCTCCGGTATACAGCTCCCAGCGTGAGCGACGCAGAAGACAGGTGATTTCTGCATTTCCATCTGAGGTACAGGGTTCATCTCACTAGGGAGTGCCAGACAGTGGGCGCGGGTCAGTGGGTGCGTGCACCATGCGCAAGCCGAAGCAGGGCGAGGCATTGTCTCACTTGGGAAGCGCAAGGGGACAGGGAGTTCCCTTTCCGAGTCAAAAAAAGGGGTGACAGACGCACCTGGATAATCAGGTCACTCCCACCCGAATATTGCGCTTTTCGGACCGGCTTAAAAAACGGCGCACCACGAGATTATATCCTGCACCTGGCTCGGAGGGTCCTACGCCCACGGAATCTCGCTGATTGCTAGCACAGCAGTCTGAGATCAAACTGCAAGGCGGCAGCGAGGCTGGGGGAGGGGCGCCCGCCATTGCCCAGGCTTGATTAGGTAAACAAAACAGCCGGGAAGCTCGAACTGGGTGGAGCCCACCACAGCTCAAGGAGGCCTGCCTGCCTCTGTAGGCTCCACCTCTGGGGGCAGGGCACAGACAAACAAAAAGACAGCAGTAACCTCTGCAGACTTAAATGTCCCTGTCTGACAGCTTTGTAGAGAGCAGTGGTTCTCCCAGCACGCAGCTGGAGATCTGAGAACGGGCAGACTGCCTCCTCAAGTGGGTCCCTGACCCCTGAGCAGCCTAACTGGGAGGCACCCCCCAGCAGGGGCACACTGACACCTCACAGGGCAGGGTATTCCAACAGACCTGCAGCTGAGGGTCCTGTCTGTTAGAAGGAAAACTAACAAACAGAAAGGACATCCACACCAAAAACCCATCTGTACATCACCATCATCAAAGACCAAAAGTAGATAAAACCACAAAGATGGGGAAAAAACAGAACAGAAAAACTGGAAACTCTAAAACGCAGAGCGCCTCTCCTCCTCCAAAGGAACGCAGTTCCTCACCAGCAACGGAACAAAGCTGGATGGAGAATGACTTTGACGAGCTGAGAGAAGAAGGCTTCAGACGATCAAATTACTCTGAGCTATGGGAGGACATTCAAACCAAAGGCAAAGAAGTTGAAAACTTTGAAAAAAATTTAGAAGAATGTATAACTAGAATAACCAATACAGAGAAGTGCTTAAAGGAGCTGATGGAGCTGAAAACCAAGGCTCGAGAACTATGTGAAGAATGCAGAAGCCTCAGGAGCCAATGCGATCAACTGGAAGAAAGGGTATCAGCGATGGAAGATGAAATGAATGAAATGAAGCGAGAAGGGAAGTTTAGAGAAAAAAGAATAAAAAGAAATGAGCAAAGCCTCCAAGAAATATGGGACTATGTGAAAAGACCAAATCTACGTCTGATCGGTGTACCGGAAAGTGATGGGGAGAATGGAACCAAGTTGGAAAACACTCTGCAGGATATTATCCAGGAGAACTTCCCCAATCTAGCAAGGCAGGCCAACGTTCAGATTCAGGAAATACAGAGAACGCCACAAAGATACTCCTCAAGAAGAGCAACTCCAAGACACATAATTGTCAGATTCACCAAAGTTGAAATGAAGGAAAAAATGTTAAGGGCAGCCAGAGAGAAAGGTCAGGTTACCCTCAAAGGGAAGCCCATCAGACTAACAGCAGATCTCTCGGCAGAAACCCTATAAGCCAGAAGAGAGTGGGGGCCAATATTCAACATTCTTAAAGAAAAGAATTTTCAACCCAGAATTTCATATCCAGCCAAACTAAGCTTCATAAGTGAAGAAGAAATAAAATACTTTACAGACAAGCAAATGCTGAGAGATTTTGTCACCACCAGGCCTGCCCTAAAAGAGCTCCTGAAGGAAGCGCTAAACATGGAAAGGAACAACCGGTACCAGCCGCTGCAAAATCATGCCAACATGTAAAGACCATCGAGACTAGGAAGAAACTGCATTAACTAACGAGCAAAATCACCAGCTAACATCATAATGACAGGATCAAATTCACACATAACAATATTAACTTTAAATGTAAATGGATTAAATGCTCCAATTAAAAGACACAGGCTGGCAAATTGGATAAAGAGTCAAGACCCATCAGTGTGCTGTATTCAGGAAACCCATCTCACGTGCAGAGACACACATAGGCTCAAAATAAAAGGATGAAGGAAGATCTACCAAGCAAATGGAAAACAAAAAAAGGCAGGGGTTGCAATCCTAGTCTCGGATAAAACAGACTTTAAACCAACAAAGATCAAAAGAGACAAAGAAGGCCGTTACATAATGGTAAAGGGATCAATTCAACAAGAAGAGCTAACTATCCTAAATATATATACACCCAATACAGGAGCACCCAGATTCATAAAGCAAGTCCTGAGTGACCTACAAAAAGACTTAGACTCCCACACATTAATAATGGGAGACTTTAACACCCCACTGTCAACATTAGACAGATCAACGAGACAGGAAGTGAACAAGGATACCCAGGAATTGAACTCAACTCTGCACCAAGCGGACCTAATAGACATCTACAGAACTCTCCACCCCAAATCAACAGAATATACATTTTTTTCAGCATCACACCACACCTATTCCAAAATTGACCACATACTTGGAAGTAAAGCTCTCCTCAGCAAATGTAAAAGAACAGAGATTATAACAAACTATCTCTCAGACCACAGTGCAATCAAACTAGAACTCAGGATTAAGAATCTCACTCAAAACCGCTCAACTACATGGAAACTGAACAACCTGCTCCTGAATGACTACTGGATACATAACGAAATGAAGGCAGAAATAAAGATGTTCTTTGAAACCAACGAGAACAAAGACACAACATACCAGAATCTCTGGGACGCATTCAAAGCAGTGTGTAGAGGGAAATTTACAGCACTAAATGCCCACAAGAGAAAGCAGGAAAGATCCAAATTGACACCCTAACAGCACAATTAAAAAAACTAGAAAAGCAAGAGCAAACACATTCAAAAGCTAGCAGAAGGCAAGAAATAACTAAAATCAGAGCAGAACTGAAGGAAATAGAGACACAAAAAACCCTTCCAAAAATCAATGAATCCAGGAGCTGGTTTTTTGAAAGGATCAACAAAATTGATAGACCGCTAGCAAGACTAATAAAGAAAAAAAGAGAGAAGAATCAAATAGACACAATAAAAAATGATAAAGGGGATATCACCACCGATCCCACAGAAATACAAACTACCATCAGAGAATACTACAAACAACTCTACGCAAATAAACTAGAAAATCTAGAAGAATTGGATACATTCCTCGACACATACACTCTCCCAAGACTAAACCAGGAAGAAGTTGAATCTCTGAATAGACCAATAACAGGAGCTGAAATTGTGGCAATAATCAATAGTTTACCAACCAAAAAGAGTCCAGGACCAGATGGATTCACAGCCGAATTCTACCAGAGGTACAAGGAGGAACTGGTACCATTCCTTCTGAAACTATTCCAATCAATAGAAAAAGAGGGAATCCTCCCTAACTCATTTTATGAGGCCAGCATCATTCTGATACCAAAGCCAGGCAGAGACACAACCAAAAAAGAGAATTTTAGACCAATATCATTGATGAACATTGATGCAAAAATCCTCAATAAAATACTGGCAAACCGAATCCAGCAGCACATCAAAAAGCTTATCCACCATGATCAAGTGGGCTTCATCCCTGGGATGCAAGGCTGGTTCAATATACGCAAATCAATAAATGTAATCCAGCATATAAACAGAGCCAAAGACAAAAACCACATGATTATCTCAATAGATGCAGAAAAAGCCTTTGACAAAATTCAACAACCCTTCATGCTAAAAACTCTCAATAAATTAGGTATTGATGGGACGTATTTCAAAATAATAAGAGCTATCTATGACAAACCCACAGCCAATATCATACTGAATGGGCAAAAACTGGAAGCATTCCCTTTGAAAACTGGCACAAGACAGGGATGCCCTCTCTCACCGCTCCTATTCAACATAGTGTTGGAAGTTCTGGCCAGGGCAATCAGGCAGGAGAAGGAAATAAAGGGTATTCAATTAGGAAAAGAGGAAGTCAAATTGTCCCTGTTTGCAGACGACATGATTGTATATCTAGAAAACCCCATTGACTCAGCCCAAAATCTCCTTAAGCTGATAAGCAACTTCAGCAAAGTCTCAGGATACAAAATCAATGTACCAAAATCACAAGCATTCTTATACACCAACAACAGACAAACAGAGAGCCAAATCATGAGTGAACTCCCATTCACAATTGCTTCAAAGAGAATAAAATACCTAGGAATCCAACTTACAAGGGATGTGAAGGACCTCTTCAAGGAGAACTACAAACCACTGCTCAAGGAAATAAAAGAGGACACAAACAAATGGAAGAACATTCCATGCTTATGGGTAGGAAGAATCAATATCGTGAAAATGGCCATACTGCCCAAGGTAATTTACAGATTCAATGCCATCCCCATCAAGCTACCAATGACTTTCTTCACAGAATTAGAAAAAACTACTTTAAAGTTCATATGGAACCAAAAAAGAGCCCACATCGCCAAGTCAATCCTAAGCCAAAAGAACAAAGCTGGAGGCATCACACTACCTGACTTCAAACTATACTACAAGGCTACAGTAACCAAAACAGCATGGTACTGGTACCAAAACAGAGATATAGATCAATGGAACAGAACAGAGCCCTCAGAAATAATGCCGCATATCTACAACTATCTGATCTTTGACAAACCTGAGAAAAACAAGCAATGGGGAAAGGATTCCCTATTTAATAAATGGTGCTGGGAAAACTGGCTAGCCATATGTAGAAAGCTGAAACTGGATCCCTTCCTTACACCTTATACAAAAATCAATTCAAGATGGATTAAAGACTTAAACGTTAGACCTAAAACCATAAAAACCCTAGAAGAAAACCTAGGCATTACCATTCAGGACATAGGCGTGGGCAAGGACTTCATGTCCAAAACACCAAAAGCAATGGCAACAAAAGCCAAAATTGACAAATGGGATCTAATTAAACTAAAGAGCTTCTGCACAGCAAAAGAAACTACCATCAGAGTGAACAGGCAACCTACAACATGGGAGAAAATTTTCGCAACCTACTCATCTGACAAAGGGCTAATATCCAGAATCTACAATGAACTCAAACAAATTTACAAGAAAAAAACAAACAACCCCATCAAAAAGTGGGCGAAGGACATGAACAGACACTTCTCAAAAGAAGACATTTATGCAGCCAAAAAACACATGAAGAAATGCTCATCATCACTGGCCATCAGAGAAATGCAAATCAAAACCACTATGAGATATCATCTCACACCAGTTAGAATGGCAATCATTAAAAAGTCAGGAAACAACAGGTGCTGGAGAGGATGTGGAGAAATAGGAACACTTTTACACTGTTGGTGGGACTGTAAACTAGTTCAACCATTGTGGAAGTCAGTGTGGCGATTCCTCAGGGATCTAGAACTAGAAATACCATTTGACCCAGCCATCCCATTACTGGGTATATACCCAAAGGACTATAAATCATGCTGCTATAAAGACACATGCACACGTATGTTTATTGCGGCACTATTCACAATAGCAAAGACTTGGAACCAACCCAAATGTCCAACAATGATAGACTGGATTAAGAAAATGTGGCACATATACACCATGGAATACTATACAGCCATAAAAAATGATGAGTTCATGTCCTTTGTAGGGACATGGATGAAATTGGAAACCATCATTCTCAGTAAACTATCGCAAGAACAAAAAACCAAACACCACATATTCTCACTCATAGGTGGGAATTGAACAATGAGATCACATGGACACAGGAAGGGGAATATCACACTCTGGGGACTGTGGTGGGGTCGGGGGAGGGGGGAGGGATAGCATTGGGAGATATACCTAATGCTAGATGACACGTTGGTGGGTGCAGCGCACCAGCATGTCACATGTATACATATGTAACTAACCTGCACAATGTGCACATGTACCCTAAAACTTAGAGTATAATAATAAAAAAAAAAAAACTAGAAAAGCAAGAGCAAACACATTCAAAAGCTAGCAGAAGGCAAGAAATAACTAAAATCAGAGCAGAACTGAAGGAAATAGAGACACAAAAAACCCTTCCAAAAATTAATGAATCCAGGAGCTGGTTTTTTGAAAGGATCAACAAAATTGATAGACCGCTAGCAAGACTAATAAAGAAAAAAAGAGAGAAGAATCAAATAGACACAATAAAAAATGATAAAGGGGATATCACCACCGATCCCACAGAAATACAAACTACCATCAGAGAATACTACAAACAACTCTACGCAAATAAACTAGAAAATCTAGAAGAAATGGAAAAATTCCTCGACACATACACTCTCCCAAGACTAAACCAGGAAGAAGTTGAATCTCTGAATAGACCAATAACAGGAGCTGAAATTGTGGCAATTATCAATAGTTTACCAACCAAAAAGAGTCCAGGACCAGATGGATTCACAGCCGAATTCTACCAGAGGTACAAGGAGGAACTGGTACCATTCCTTCTGAAACTATTCCAATCAATAGAAAAAGAGGGAATCCTCCCTAACTCATTTTATGAGGCCAGCATCATTCTGATAACAAAGCCGGGCAGAGACACAACCAAAAGAGAGAATTTTAGACCAATATCCTTGATGAACATTGATGCAAAAATCCTCAATAAAATACTGGCAAAACGAATCCAGCAGCACATCAAAAAGCTTATCCACCATGATCAAGTGGGCTTCATCCCTGGGATGCAAGGCTGGTTCAATATATGCAAATCAATAAATGTAATCCAGTATATAAACAGAGCCAAAGACAAAAACCACATGATTATCTCAATAGATGCAGAAAAAGCCTTTGACAAAATTCAACAACCCTTCATGCTAAAAACTCTCAATAAATTAGGTATTGATGGGATGTATTTCAAAATAATAAGAGCTATCTATGACAGACCTACAGCCAATATCATACTGAATAGGCAAAAACTGGAAGCATTCCCTTTGAAAACTGGCACAAGACAGGGATGCCCTCTCTCACCGCTCCTATTCAACATAGTGTTGGAAGTTCTGGCCAGGGCAATCAGGCAGGAGAAGGAAATAAAGGGTATTCAATTAGGAAAAGAGGAAGTCAAATTGTCCCTGTTTGCAGACGACATGATTGTATATCTAGAAAACCCCATTGACTCAGCCCAAAATCTCCTTAAGCTGATAAGCAACTTCAGCAAAGTCTCAGGATACAAAATGAATGTACCAAAATCACAAGCATTCTTATACACCAACAACAGACAAACAGAGAGCCAAATCATGAGTGAACTCCCATTCACAATTGCTTCAAAGAGAATAAAATACCTAGGAATCCAACTTACAAGGGATGTGAAGGACCTCTTCAAGGAGAACTACAAACCACTGCTCAAGGAAATAAAAGAGGATACAAACAAATGGAAGAACATTCCATGCTCATGGGTAAGAAGAATCAATATCGTGAAAATGGCCATACTGCCCAAGGTAATTTACAGATTCAATGCTATCCCCATAAAGCTACCAATGACTTTCTTCACAGAATTGGAAAAAACTACTTTAAAGTTCATATGGAACCAAAAAAGAGCCCGCATTGCCAAGGCAATCTTAAGCCAAAAGAACAAAGCTGGAGGCATCACGCTACCTCACTTCAAACTATACTACAAGGCTACAGTAACCAAAACAGCATGGTACTGGTACCAAAACAGAGATATAGATCAATGGAACAGAACAGAGCCCTCAGAAATAACGCCTCATATCTACAACTATCTGATCTTTGACAAACCTGAGAAAAACAAGCAATGGGGAAAGGATTCCCTATTTAATAAATGGTGCTGGGAAAACTGGCTAGCCATATGTAGAAAGCTGAAACTGGATCCCTTCCTTACACCTTATACAAAAATCAATTCAAGATGGATTAAAGACTTAAACGTTAGACCTAAAACCATAAAAACTCTAGAAGAAAACCTAGGCATTACCATTCAGGACATAGGCATGGGCAAGGACTTCATGTCCAAAACACCAAAAGCAATGGCAACAAAAGACAAAATTGACAAATGGGATCTAATTAAACTAAAGAGCTTCTGCACAGCAAAAGAAACTACCATCAGAGTGAACAGGCAACCTGCAAAATGGGAGAAAATTTTTGCAACCTACTCATCTGACAAAGGGCTAATATCCAGAATCTACAATGAACTCAAACAAATTTACAAGAAAAAAACAAACAACCCCATCAAAAAGTGGGCGAAGGACATGAACAGACACTTCTCAAAAGAAGACATTTATGCAGCCAAAAAACACATGAAAAAATGCTCATCATCACTGGCCATCAGAGAAATGCAAATCAAAACCACAATGAGATACCATCTCACACCAGTTAGAATGGCAATGATTAAAAAGTCAGGAAACAACAGGTGCTGGGGAGGATGTGGAGAAACAGGAACACTTTTACACTGTTGGTGGGACTGTAAACTAGTTCAACCACTGTGGAAGTCAGTGTGGCGATTCCTCAGGGATCTAGAACTAGAAATACCATTTGACCCAGCCATCCCATTACTGGGTATATACCCAAAGGACTATAAATCATGCTGCTATAAAGACACATGCACACGTATGTTTATTGCGGCACTATTCACAATAGCAAAGACTTGGAACCAACCCAAATGTCCAACAATGATAGACTGGATTAAGAAAATGTGGCACATATACACCATGGAATACTATACAGCCATAAAAAATGATGAGTTCATGTCCTTTGTAGGGACATGGATGAAATTGGAAACCATCATTCTCAGTAAACTATCGCAAGAACAAAAAACCAAACACCACATATTCTTCACTCATAGGTGGGAATTGAACAATGAGATCACATGGACACAGGAAGGGGAATATCACACTCTGGGGACTGTGGTGGGGTCGGGGGAGGGGGGAGGGATAGCATTGGGAGATATACCTAATGCTAGATGACACGTTGGTGGGTGCAGCGCACCAGCATGTCACATGTATACATATGTAACTAACCTGCACAATGTGCACATGTACCCTAAAACTTAGAGTATAATAATAAAAAAAAAAAAACTAGAAAAGCAAGAGCAAACACATTCAAAAGCTAGCAGAAGGCAAGAAATAACTAAAATCAGAGCAGAACTGAAGGAAATAGAGACACAAAAAACCCTTCCAAAAATTAATGAATCCAGGAGCTGGTTTTTTGAAAGGATCAACAAAATTGATAGACCGCTAGCAAGACTAATAAAGAAAAAAAGAGAGAAGAATCAAATAGACACAATAAAAAATGATAAAGGGGATATCACCACCGATCCCACAGAAATACAAACTACCATCAGAGAATACTACAAACAACTCTACGCAAATAAACTAGAAAATCTAGAAGAAATGGAAAAATTCCTCGACACATACACTCTCCCAAGACTAAACCAGGAAGAAGTTGAATCTCTGAATAGACCAATAACAGGAGCTGAAATTGTGGCAATTATCAATAGTTTACCAACCAAAAAGAGTCCAGGACCAGATGGATTCACAGCCGAATTCTACCAGAGGTACAAGGAGGAACTGGTACCATTCCTTCTGAAACTATTCCAATCAATAGAAAAAGAGGGAATCCTCCCTAACTCATTTTATGAGGCCAGCATCATTCTGATAACAAAGCCGGGCAGAGACACAACCAAAAGAGAGAATTTTAGACCAATATCCTTGATGAACATTGATGCAAAAATCCTCAATAAAATACTGGCAAAACGAATCCAGCAGCACATCAAAAAGCTTATCCACCATGATCAAGTGGGCTTCATCCCTGGGATGCAAGGCTGGTTCAATATATGCAAATCAATAAATGTAATCCAGTATATAAACAGAGCCAAAGACAAAAACCACATGATTATCTCAATAGATGCAGAAAAAGCCTTTGACAAAATTCAACAACCCTTCATGCTAAAAACTCTCAATAAATTAGGTATTGATGGGATGTATTTCAAAATAATAAGAGCTATCTATGACAGACCTACAGCCAATATCATACTGAATAGGCAAAAACTGGAAGCATTCCCTTTGAAAACTGGCACAAGACAGGGATGCCCTCTCTCACCGCTCCTATTCAACATAGTGTTGGAAGTTCTGGCCAGGGCAATCAGGCAGGAGAAGGAAATAAAGGGTATTCAATTAGGAAAAGAGGAAGTCAAATTGTCCCTGTTTGCAGACGACATGATTGTATATCTAGAAAACCCCATTGACTCAGCCCAAAATCTCCTTAAGCTGATAAGCAACTTCAGCAAAGTCTCAGGATACAAAATGAATGTACCAAAATCACAAGCATTCTTATACCACCAACAACAGACAAACAGAGAGCCAAATCATGGAGTGAACTCCCATTCCACAATTGCTTCAAAGAGAATAAAATACCTAGGAATCCAACTTACAAGGGATGTGAAGGACCTCTTCAAGGAGAACTACAAACCACTGCTCAAGGAAATAAAAGAGGATACAAACAAATGGAAGAACATTCCATGCTCATGGGTAAGAAGAATCAATATCGTGAAAATGGCCATACTGCCCAAGGTAATTTACAGATTCAATGCTATCCCCATAAAGCTACCAATGACTTTCTTCACAGAATTGGAAAAAACTACTTTAAAGTTCATATGGAACCAAAAAAGAGCCCGCATTGCCAAGGCAATCTTAAGCCAAAAGAACAAAGCTGGAGGCATCACGCTACCTCACTTCAAACTATACTACAAGGCTACAGTAACCAAAACAGCATGGTACTGGTACCAAAACAGAGATATAGATCAATGGAACAGAACAGAGCCCTCAGAAATAACGCCTCATATCTACAACTATCTGATCTTTGACAAACCTGAGAAAAACAAGCAATGGGGAAAGGATTCCCTATTTAATAAATGGTGCTGGGAAAACTGGCTAGCCATATGTAGAAAGCTGAAACTGGATCCCTTCCTTACACCTTATACAAAAATCAATTCAAGATGGATTAAAGACTTAAACGTTAGACCTAAAACCATAAAAACTCTAGAAGAAAACCTAGGCATTACCATTCAGGACATAGGCATGGGCAAGGACTTCATGTCCAAAACACCAAAAGCAATGGCAACAAAAGACAAAATTGACAAATGGGATCTAATTAAACTAAAGAGCTTCTGCACAGCAAAAGAAACTACCATCAGAGTGAACAGGCAACCTGCAAAATGGGAGAAAATTTTTGCAACCTACTCATCTGACAAAGGGCTAATATCCAGAATCTACAATGAACTCAAACAAATTTACAAGAAAAAAACAAACAACCCCATCAAAAAGTGGGCGAAGGACATGAACAGACACTTCTCAAAAGAAGACATTTATGCAGCCAAAAAACACATGAAAAAATGCTCATCATCACTGGCCATCAGAGAAATGCAAATCAAAACCACAATGAGATACCATCTCACACCAGTTAGAATGGCAATGATTAAAAAGTCAGGAAACAACAGGTGCTGGGGAGGATGTGGAGAAACAGGAACACTTTTACACTGTTGGTGGGACTGTAAACTAGTTCAACCACTGTGGAAGTCAGTGTGGCGATTCCTCAGGGATCTAGAACTAGAAATACCATTTGACCCAGCCATCCCATTACTGGGTATATACCCAAAGGACTATAAATCATGCTGCTATAAAGACACATGCACACGTATGTTTATTGCGGCACTATTCACAATAGCAAAGACTTGGAACCAACCCAAATGTCCAACAATGATAGACTGGATTAAGAAAATGTGGCCACATATACACCCATGGAATACTATACAGCCATAAAAAAATGATGAGTTCATGTCCTTTGTAGGGACATGGATGAAATTGGAAACCATCATTCTCAGTAAACTATCGCAAGAACAAAAAACCAAACACCACATATTCTCACTCATAGGTGGGAATTGAACAATGAGATCACATGGACACAGGAAGGGGAATATCACACTCTGGGGACTGTGGTGGGGTCGGGGGAGGGGGGAGGGATAGCATTGGGAGATATACCTAATGCTAGATGACACGTTGGTGGGTGCAGCGCACCAGCATGTCACATGTATACATATGTAACTAACCTGCACAATGTGCACATGTACCCTAAAACTTAGAGTATAATAATAAAAAAAAAAAAACTAGAAAAGCAAGAGCAAACACATTCAAAAGCTAGCAGAAGGCAAGAAATAACTAAAATCAGAGCAGAACTGAAGGAAATAGAGACACAAAAAACCCTTCCAAAAATTAATGAATCCAGGAGCTGGTTTTTTGAAAGGATCAACAAAATTGATAGACCGCTAGCAAGACTAATAAAGAAAAAAAGAGAGAAGAATCAAATAGACACAATAAAAAATGATAAAGGGGATATCACCACCGATCCCACAGAAATACAAACTACCATCAGAGAATACTACAAACAACTCTACGCAAATAAACTAGAAAATCTAGAAGAAATGGAAAAATTCCTCGACACATACACTCTCCCAAGACTAAACCAGGAAGAAGTTGAATCTCTGAATAGACCAATAACAGGAGCTGAAATTGTGGCAATTATCAATAGTTTACCAACCAAAAAGAGTCCAGGACCAGATGGATTCACAGCCGAATTCTACCAGAGGTACAAGGAGGAACTGGTACCATTCCTTCTGAAACTATTCCAATCAATAGAAAAAGAGGGAATCCTCCCTAACTCATTTTATGAGGCCAGCATCATTCTGATAACAAAGCCGGGCAGAGACACAACCAAAAGAGAGAATTTTAGACCAATATCCTTGATGAACATTGATGCAAAAATCCTCAATAAAATACTGGCAAAACGAATCCAGCAGCACATCAAAAAGCTTATCCACCATGATCAAGTGGGCTTCATCCCTGGGATGCAAGGCTGGTTCAATATATGCAAATCAATAAATGTAATCCAGTATATAAACAGAGCCAAAGACAAAAACCACATGATTATCTCAATAGATGCAGAAAAAGCCTTTGACAAAATTCAACAACCCTTCATGCTAAAAACTCTCAATAAATTAGGTATTGATGGGATGTATTTCAAAATAATAAGAGCTATCTATGACAGACCTACAGCCAATATCATACTGAATAGGCAAAAACTGGAAGCATTCCCTTTGAAAACTGGCACAAGACAGGGATGCCCTCTCTCACCGCTCCTATTCAACATAGTGTTGGAAGTTCTGGCCAGGGCAATCAGGCAGGAGAAGGAAATAAAGGGTATTCAATTAGGAAAAGAGGAAGTCAAATTGTCCCTGTTTGCAGACGACATGATTGTATATCTAGAAAACCCCATTGACTCAGCCCAAAATCTCCTTAAGCTGATAAGCAACTTCAGCAAAGTCTCAGGATACAAAATGAATGTACCAAAATCACAAGCATTCTTATACACCAACAACAGACAAACAGAGAGCCAAATCATGAGTGAACTCCCATTCACAATTGCTTCAAAGAGAATAAAATACCTAGGAATCCAACTTACAAGGGATGTGAAGGACCTCTTCAAGGAGAACTACAAACCACTGCTCAAGGAAATAAAAGAGGATACAAACAAATGGAAGAACATTCCATGCTCATGGGTAAGAAGAATCAATATCGTGAAAATGGCCATACTGCCCAAGGTAATTTACAGATTCAATGCTATCCCCATAAAGCTACCAATGACTTTCTTCACAGAATTGGAAAAAACTACTTTAAAGTTCATATGGAACCAAAAAAGAGCCCGCATTGCCAAGGCAATCTTAAGCCAAAAGAACAAAGCTGGAGGCATCACGCTACCTCACTTCAAACTATACTACAAGGCTACAGTAACCAAAACAGCATGGTACTGGTACCAAAACAGAGATATAGATCAATGGAACAGAACAGAGCCCTCAGAAATAACGCCTCATATCTACAACTATCTGATCTTTGACAAACCTGAGAAAAACAAGCAATGGGGAAAGGATTCCCTATTTAATAAATGGTGCTGGGAAAACTGGCTAGCCATATGTAGAAAGCTGAAACTGGATCCCTTCCTTACACCTTATACAAAAATCAATTCAAGATGGATTAAAGACTTAAACGTTAGACCTAAAACCATAAAAACTCTAGAAGAAAACCTAGGCATTACCATTCAGGACATAGGCATGGGCAAGGACTTCATGTCCAAAACACCAAAAGCAATGGCAACAAAAGACAAAATTGACAAATGGGATCTAATTAAACTAAAGAGCTTCTGCACAGCAAAAGAAACTACCATCAGAGTGAACAGGCAACCTGCAAAATGGGAGAAAATTTTTGCAACCTACTCATCTGACAAAGGGCTAATATCCAGAATCTACAATGAACTCAAACAAATTTACAAGAAAAAAACAAACAACCCCATCAAAAAGTGGGTGAAGGACATGAACAGACACTTCTCAAAAGAAGACATTTATGCAGCCAAAAAACACATGAAAAAATGCTCATCATCACTGGCCATCAGAGAAATGCAAATCAAAACCACAATGAGATACCATCTCACACCAGTTAGAATGGCAATGATTAAAAAGTCAGGAAACAACAGGTGCTGGGGAGGATGTGGAGAAACAGGAACACTTTTACACTGTTGGTGGGACTGTAAACTAGTTCAACCACTGTGGAAGTCAGTGTGGCGATTCCTCAGGGATCTAGAACTAGAAATACCATTTGACCCAGCCATCCCATTACTGGGTATATACCCAAAGCACTATAAATCATGCTGCTATAAAGACACATGCACACGTATGTTTATTGCAGCATTATTCACAATAGCAAAGACTTGGAACCAACCCAAATGTCCAACAATGATAGACTGGATTAAGAAAATGTGGCACTTATACACCATGGAATACTATGCAGCCATAAAAAATGATGAGTTCATGTCCTTTGTAGGGACATGGATGAAATTGGAAATCATCATTCTCAGTAAACTATGGCAAGAACAAAAAACCAAACACCGCATATTCTCACTCATAGGTGGGAATTGAACAATGAGATCACATGGACACAGGAAGGGGAATATCCACTCTGGGGACTGTGGTAGGGTGGGGGGAGGGGGTAGGGATAGCATTGGGAGATATACCTAATGCTAGATGACGAGTTAGTGGGTGCAGCGCACCAGCATGTCACATGTATACATATGTAACTAACCTGCACAATGTGCGCATGTACCCTAAAACTTAAAGTATAATAAAAAAATAAAAAAAAAGAAAAGCAGGAAAAAAAAAATAACATATATCCACATAAGAAATACATGAATATATAGTTAATTTATTTGTATTATTTATTTATTTATTTATTTATTGAGTTAGGGCTTCATCACCCAGGGTGGAGTACAGTAGCGCAATCACAGCTCAGTGCAGCCTCGACCTCCTGGCTCTAGCAATCTTCCCACCTCAGCCTCCTAAGTAGCTGAGACTACAGACACACACCACCGTGCCTGGCTAATTCTTGTGTTTTTTTGTAGAGATGGAGTTTTGAACATTGCCCAGGTTTATGCAGTTAATTTAAATGTTATATAAATCTCCCTCTCTCTCTCTCTCTTTTTTTTTTTTTTTTTTTTTTTCCCAGAGACAAGATTTCACTCTGTTACCCAGGCTGGAGTGCAGTGGTGTAATCATAGCTCAATGCAGCCTTGAAATCCTGGGCTTAAGCTATCCTCCCACCTCAGCTTCCCTAATAACTGGGACTACAAGTATGTGGCAACATGCCTAGCTAAGTTTTTTTTATTTTTATTTTTTATTTTTGTAGAGATGAGGTCTAACTATGTTTCCAGGCTGGACTTAAACTCTGGACCTCAAGCGATCTTCCTGCCTCAGCCTCCCAAATGTTCAGATTACAAGCATGAGCCATCATGCCCAGGCTTTTTTTTTTTTTTAAAATTTCTTAACATTGTCAGTTAGCAACCTCTAAATGTACAGGGCATGATTACCTAAATAACACGTATCAGAAAATAAGCATAAAATTATTTAATCATAAAAACATTTGTATGTATCTAAATATTTCTCTTATGTTTCTAAAAAAAATTGAGTTTAAAAAAGAACTTTTAAACAGTATCTAATGTGGGAACTGTACAAAAAATAAGTTATTGATGAACTCCTATAACCAAACTCTTAGCTAGGAACATAGCAAAATAAACAGCTAAGCAACTTTGAGACTGCTACTTAAAAATTTTAAAACATGGAACAAAGCATTTTTTGAGTCCAGACGTTTTAAAAAAAGTAGTGTTTGCTTATATAATTTAGCCCTTTAACTGGATAAATATACCGAAATTTCAAAATTTCTAGGCATATGTATCTTTAATTGATTGCAAATTAGTTGACATTCAAAAGTTCAACTTAATAGCATTAAGTGTAGTCATCTAACTCCATGGAGCTTAACCATTTTGAAGAATATAATATTCTTGGATCATCAAGTCCATAAATACCTACATCAAGTATATGTTAGTACCAAGCTAATGGGAGTTCATAATTTATAGTCTGGGACTTGATAAGCCAGGATTTGGGGTGGCATGATTCACATGAGTGTCTTGAGACATATCCAAGCCCAGGGCAATAAACAGAAAATTATGAAGACAAGCTCAGTTAGAGTGCACAATAAAACCCAAGTTGATAGGTCAGAAACTGGGCATGCAGATAAAAATTACAGTCTAAGAAAGGCAGTATCAGCAGCCAAAGCCCAGAAACTCTAGAAAACAAGCCAAAAGGCACAAGAATTAATGAACAGCACCAAGAAGACTTTGATCATTGGGCCCACGGTCTTTCCCAGCCAGAATACTTATTGATTACCACCTTCCTGATTCAGAATCAGTTTGCAGGTTAGTATATGCCCTGGACTGATAGGGGGATAAAAAGCAAAGATCTAGACAACACAGACCTGTTACCTCATTGCTCCCTAAGAATGGTGTATGTGGTAGGAGGGAAAAAAGCTCTTTTCAAGATGAATTGTGATGTTGGCAAACTTCCAAACTTATATGCTAGCACCAAGGCATGGAAAATATTTTCAATAATACCCAAATTTAAGAATATACCTTTGACAATCAAATACATGTGCATATGTGTGTATTAGCCTTTCAGCATCTATGTAGTTACAATTTTCACAATTATAGCTTCATCGAAATAAAGGAAAGAGAGGGAAATGTCAATGCCAGAATTCTAAACTCCAGAGTAACATCAATTAATGATGTAGTAAATGAAGATAGTCCAGACTTTGTTTTAACAAAAACTTATCCCCCAAACACTCATGATACAACACACACACACACACAAAGAAAACCTGATCCAATTATCTTAGAAAACATATAAAATTGAAACATCATTTAAGGATATCTAGTATCAGAGCAGCTTCACAAACGAGTCCCATTGCTCTTGCCACTCTGATCTGAGTTCAATTCAATGTGGTTGAAAGCAGGATTATCAGTTCCACCATCTTCCACTGGATGTGATTTATAGCTCAAAACATGCTTCTTCTAAAAGAAAATGTTAACATGGTGATTAGGGGGAGAAAAAGAAGCTCTTCATTCATGTAATTCTAAATAATTGTTTCTACTATTTTTATTTCTCTGCATCAGCTTTCTAATCTACTGAGGGAGAGAAATATATAACAGGTATACTTCCTCAGAGGATACCGAGATATTCAACAGATACAGGTTATCAGAAGATAGATACAAAATAGCCCATCAGACAATAGATATACAACAGATTTATAATATCAGAGGATAGACAGATATATAGAGAGATATAACAGATATAAGTTATCAGAGGATAGACAGATATAGAGAGATATACAACAGATACAGGTTATCAGAGGATAGACAGATATAGAGAGAGATACAATAGATATAGATTATCAGAGGATAGACAGATATAGAGAGATATACAACAGGTATAGCTCATCAGAGAATAGAGGGATATACAACAGATATAGGTTATCAGAGGATAGAGAGAGATAGATATACAACAGGTGTAGCTCATCAGAGAATAGAGGGATATACAACAGATATAGGTTATCAGAGGATAGAGAGATATACAGCAGATAAAGATCATCAAAGGAAAGAGGATATGCAACAGATATAGCTCATCAGAGGATACACAGATAAGCAATAGGTATAGCGTATCAGAGGATATGGAGCTATAAAACAGATATAGATCATCATAGGATAGAGAGCTATCCAACATATATAGATCATCAGATTATATAGGGTCTATACCTTCCTTGTCCATCACTTTTCAAGAAAGAGGTTGAGAACTAATTAGTGTTCTATCCAGGTAATAAAGCCCAGTTTCCTAACTCAAGGTAAATGAAAGCCAACTCACTTTCTTAAAAATATCAAAATTGGATAAAAAGTCCTCTTTGGTTAGTATGTATCTGGGGTCTAAGTTCTGTTTTCTTCCTCCTGGAAAAAAAAATGTACATGACTTACGTTGTTAAAAAGGACACCAGTAACTACACAGAGACATTCCATTATACAGGCATTTAACTTGTTCACGTTCAACTCCATACATTCAAAAAACACAAAGAGAAAGGGAAACTTAAAAGCACTGATCACTTAGCCCGCAATTCCCCTTTCCTTAATTAGCCCCAGGTCTTGAAAGCCTCTCACTATAATAAATATGAGTCTCTCTCTCTCTCTCTCTCTCTCTCTCTCTCTCTCTCTCTCTCTCTCTATATATATATATATATATATATATATATATATATGTATCATATATATGTGTGTGAGATAGAGCTTAAACGCAAGCCAACTGCTTCATCTGGTACTCAACTAGAGAAACAGTCATCTGGCCCAATGCTGGTAGGAAAACTGGTTTAAAAGCACCCTCCATGCCATCAGTAAAATATCAAACCATCTGCCCCGCTTCAGACAGTGGAGCTGCTTTTCCCCACTTTGTTGGCTACAAATATACATGTCTATGAAGAAATGCAGGCAATTCGGAACTGCTGAATAAATTACTTAAGTGAAAATTAGTATGCTGACTGACGTTTGATCCAAATCCTCTTCCCTAAGGTTTTCTTTACAAAAAAAAAAAAAAAAATTCTATTTTGCTTTGGTATTTTTTGTGGATCAAAGAGGATGCTTTTAAAAATTGTGTATCTCAAAGAGTGGTCCTCAAACTACCCTTCCCCAAATCATTCAAGGAATGTACTTAAAATGCAGATTCCCAGACTCTAGCCTGGACTGACCAAATTAGGACCTCTGCAGGTAGGACCCCTGAAGCCTGATTTTTATAAAATTTCCAAGAGGATCCTTATGCCCTCTAAAGTTTAAGAACCACTACTTTAGTACAAATACTAGACTTTTAATTATGGGAACCTCTGCTGTTCTGGAGATAGAATCAATTTTAAATGAATTCGTTCAATGTTATTGAGTACCTACTGTGTGCTGGAGATGCTGCTAGGTGCTAGAGAAACAAAGAAACAAAACAATCTCTGTGCCCACAGTTTGTGATCTACTTAGGAAACTATTTGCCCCCATTTTCCTGATGAAAACATAGCCTTCTGCATAGTAAAAATCAGGGGAGTGCTGAAACGCCAACCAAGTCTGTAAGGCCTGAACTCTTATGGGAGTTTTAGTATACTACGATAGGTTTTAAAATCTGTTTCCCAGGGAGCATCAAAATTGTGTGCTTCTCATAGTTTTCAAGGTACTCACTGCTTCTGTGAAGTAGGAATAAGTTATTTGTGAAGTTAATGAAGTTGAAGTGTTTTCTATTACTGGATCCCAGTCACTGAGGTAGAGTGTTACTTCTTGAAACAAAAGATATAGCTGTATATGGTTTTTCAGAATCAAAGCATTTAAAAGAAAAAAAGGAGTATTCAAAGGAGCTACTCTGATACTCCACTTTCTTTTAAAAAATGAGCTAAATAAGGACCAAAGGGCAAATAGTACAGGGAGACTGGTTAGGTGTATTCCAGATCTGAACAACTGAATAACTGCTGGGAAAAGATGAAAATCTGTCTTAAGACTGGGCATGGTGGTGGCTCACGCCTGTAATCCCTACAATTTGGGAGACCAAGGTGGGCAGATCACCTGAGGTCAGGAGTTCGAGACCAGCCTGGCCAATATGGTGAAACCCCATCTCTATTAAAATTACAAAAATTAGCCGGGCGTGGTGGTGCGTGCCTGTAGTCCCAGCTACTCGGGAAGCTGAGGCAGAAGAATCCCTTGAACGCAGGAGGCAGAGGTTACAGTGAGCCAAGATCGCACCACTGTACTCCAGCCTGGGCAAAAGAGCGAGATTCCATCTCAACAGCAACAACAACAACAACAAAAATCTGTCTGAAAATATATCAAACTGGACCAAACAAATTAATAAACCTACTGTACTGGGAATTTTATTTTTGAGAAAGAGCACAGTCCTTTTGGAAAAGAAAGAATATTTTCCAACAACTGAGAAATAATGAATAGCAACAAATTTTATAATTATAAATACAAGTGTCACAGAAGTTTGAGAGACAGTGCTATCTCAGTGCCAAAAAACAGAAAATGATAGCAGGATTCTGTAAAGTGGCACAGTGCTGGCAGCTTTGTAGCATGGAGCAAACAAAGACATCAGACATCCTTGAACACAACTAGTTGTAACACATGTTGAAGGAGGCAGTTGCACCCTTCCCCTGGCGTGGCTGCTATGGATGCATACATGTGAGGGGATGTAGGGAGTCAGGGAGCCCAGCATGTTTCACCAACTCCGCACTACCCCGGCCCCAGCACTGTGATCTCTCACCTGGGTTACTGCAATAGCCTCTTCCCTGCCCTCGTTCCCCTACAGACTATTCTCAAAATTGGATCAGAGCACTCCTTTGAGAATTATTGGAAAAGTAAGTGAAAAAATATCTCACATAGTAGACCTAAAAGACACGGAGAGGAAAAATAAGAGAGAAAAAAACGAGAAAATTAGAGGAACTGTCCATGATTCTGATTCAAATGTTTGACTAATAGGAGTTCTCAGAGAGAGAACACAGAAAATTATTAAAAATAGAAATAAAAAGGAAGAAAAGAAAACAAAAAAGAAAATGTCCAGAACTGAAGGGCATGGATCTTCAGATTGAATGGGCCCTACTGAAGGCCTAGGCCAAGGCAGTCATTGTGAAAATGGGACACACACAAAGTGTCAGCTGGTAGCAGAGCGCTGTCACAACAGCAACATAGCAAGCTAGAAAAAAATTCAGACATCCTCTCAGAAAAAAGAAAAGTTCTTTTCAACCCTAGCAATTTCTACTCAAACAATCAATCAAGCATAAGATAGATTAAATAATTTTTTTTCAGACACACAAAGTTTCCAAAACCTCTTCTTTTGTCTACTCTTTCTTGAGAATATGCTATAGGATGTGTTTCATTCAATTAAGGGAGTAAATGAGAATGAGAAGTAATGAATATAGGCAGTAGAAAACCCAACACAGGAACAGGGGCTAAGAGAATTCATAGAATGAGGACAAAATGGAGTCCCAAGATAACCGTTCTATAGCAATCCCAGAGAGCAATTTATATACTATGTGTATCAATTTGATTTTTTAAAAATGAACACACTTTTTAAAAAATGATAAATATCTGAAAAAAAAGCCTCCACACTATGTTTAGATATAACCTGTGTATGCTTCTTTACAGTTCACAAAGAATGAATACTGGACCATGTAAAGATCACAGCATATTGGGTTATTATAAAAATATGTGTAAAATCCCTAACATCATAGCAGTTATGAAGTTCTTTTCAAGCATCTTATTTTTGTCTTACAGCAACTTGTGAGATGGGCAGGTCGATTATTATTGTCCTCATTTTATACATAAGAAAGCTGAGGCTCAGTGTAGCTATGTGACTTGCCCAAGTTCATGCAGCCCCTAAAGGGCAGAACCAAGATTCAAATAGAAATGAGTCTTCTGCTTTCAAGTCTAGGCCTTCAGATTTCCCATGAGTAAAACAGAAGAAATAATTAAACTAGTTGGCAATAGGATCATAGTAAAATAACATAAATAGCTATAAAACAGATACAGTAAAAACTGATATAGAGGTAAATACAACAATACTAATGTTTAGATAGTTACCTGTTGATAAACTGACAAGTATCCCCACTAATAATGTTACCAAAGTTCCAACAGTGCTGAAGTACAGATATGATAAAGAATACCAGTTATCCATCAGTGGAGTCCTAAGAGAGCAAAAACACAACGGTAAGATTTCATGTAATGCCACTAGCAACTACCAGTATATACCAGTGATTCCCATGGCAAGGTCAAAATATAACACTTAATAATGTTTTTAATGTCATAACCTGCTGTCCTAATTTTATCTTATCAGATCAGGAATTGAAAGCAAAACTTCACCTTGACTATATACTAAAATACTTGAAGGTCATGTTTATTCATTCAATTCTGCATGATGTCCCAGGCACTGCTCTTGTGATTGGACAGTCAGCCATAAATAAGGTAGATAAACCATTTGACCCAGCAATCCCACTACTGGGTATACATCCAAAGGAAAATAAATTGTTCTACCAAAAAGACACGTGCACTTATATGTTCATCGCAGCACTATTCCCAACAGCAAAGACATGCAATCAACCTAGGTGCCCATCAATGGTGGACTGGATAAAGAAAATGTGGTACATATACACCATGGAATACCATGCAGCCATGAAAAAAGAACAAAATCATGTCCTTTTCAGCAACATGGATGCAGCTGGAGGCCATTATCCAAGCAAATTAATGCAGGCACAGAAAACCAAATACCACATGTTCTCACTTATAAGTAGGAGCTAAATGTTGGTTACTTATGGACACAAAGAAGGGAACAATAGACACTGGGGACTACCAGAGGGTGAAGGGAGACAGGCAAGAGTTTACCCAAGTAAGAAACCTGCACAGGTATCTAAAATAAAAGTTGAAATTATTTTTTAAAAATAAAGTAGATAAGATTCCTGCTAACATATAGTTTATACTCTAATGGAGAGATAAATACAATAAACAAATTAATAAATATAATAATTTCCACTAGTAGAAAGTGCTGTAAGGAAAGTAAAACAAGATGATGTGCTATTAACAGGGTGAAGAGGGAGGAACTACACTACAAGTGGTCAGAGAAAACCTTTGGGAATAAATGACATTTGAACTGAGATCTGAGAAACAAAATGTTCTTGAGGAAAACAGAGACTAAACACCAGCTGACTGAGGCACAGTGAGCAAGACAGTGATTACAAGATGAAAGATAGGCAGGGGGCTTTTTGTGGGACCAGGCATGAGTTGGAATTTTACTCTACAGGCAATGGCACTCATTGCAATGTTTTAAGTGAAAGAGTAACATGAACATTCTATGATCATTTCTACAATGATTGCTCTAGGATTCCACTTTCAGTTTTGATAGCTGCTTGATTTAGAACAATCATTCTGCTGAGAACAATATATAAAACCTGGGGCATGGGGAGGGAGGCAGGTTTTTGAAGCTATCAGAGAGATCAAGACAATGAGAACTTGGCTGGGGTGGTGGCACACACCTATAATCCCAGCACTTTGGGAGACCAAGGCAGGTGGATAACCTGAGGTCAGGAGTTCAAGACCAGTCTGGCCAACCTGGTGAAACCCCATCTCTACTAAAGATACAAAAATTGGCCAGGTGTGGTGGCACATGCCTGTAATCCCAGCTACTTGGGAGGCTGAGGCACAAAAATCACTTGAACCCAGAGGTGGAGGTTGCATTGAACTCGAGCCTGGGCAACAGACTGAGACTCCGTCTCAAACAAAAACAAAAACAAAACAATGAGAACTTGAGGTGACAAGAACCCAGAAAGGAGGGGAACACATTGAGTTGAGCTAATGAAATTAAGAGAGTGTGATATTGAGCCAAAGACAGACAAAATAGAACAGAGTAGAGAATTGAGAAATAGACCCACAGAAAAATAGTTACTTGGTTAACATCGTTTTCATCGCCAGTGCATTCAATGGGGCAAAAGGGGAGTCTTTTCAATAAATGGTGTTTAGTTAACTGAGTATCCACATGGGGAAAAATAATCTTGATCACACCACCCACAGAAATCAATTCCAAAGTGGATTACACTTCCTCAATGGAAATGGTTAACAATAAAGCTTTTAAATAAAAAATTAGTGGAATATCTTTATGATTGCAGGGTAGACAAGGATTTCTTAAACAAGACACATAAAGGACTAACCATATAGGAAAAAACTGAGAAACAGAAATAAATTAAAATTAAGAAATTTTGACTGACAAAAAAAGTATCATTAAAAGAGTAAAAAGGTAACCCATAGAATGGGAGAGAAACATTTTCAAAACATATCTCATATCTAGAATATGTCATGAACTTCTATGTAAGTAAGAAAAAGACAGAGAATCCATTTCAGATGGACTAAAGACTTCAATAACTAAGTCGCAAAAGTAAATATCCAAATGGCCAACAAACAAATGAAAATGTATTTGACTTCATTAATCTTAAGGGAAATACAAATTAAAACCACAGCAAGCTACCAATGTAACCATCAAATATTGTAAACTTAAAAAAATCAAAACTGAATCTAGGCAATTGAAACAATTTGTATCTAGGCAACCAAAGCATCACACATTCAACCTTCAGCTGGGTGGCTCACAACCCTTGTGCTCCAGCCCTATGGAACTAGGATGATTTCCTAAGATGCCCTGATTCTTCAGTCCTTCATGCTTTTGCACCGGTCGTTTCTTCATTCTGCGACACACACTCCTCCTTCCTTGCGATACAGATTGTGTCCCTGTGCTCAATCCTGCTACCTGACTAACTCCAGCCCATGCAATTCTCCTCTAAGAAGGTTTCCTTGACTCCAGTCAGGCAGACTTCCTCCTTCTGGCTCCCATGATATCCTGTGAATATTACTTACCACAATGCATGTTTTAATTTATTTTCTTGTCCAATTTCCCTTCTGGTCATTTTCTGTGACAAGAATGACTTTCCAGATCTTCCCCTTCATCTAGCCAAACCTATGCATTCTTGAAGTAGTAGTATATCTCTGAAGTCTTCATGCTAACTTACACTCCAACTTTGTACTCACTCTTTTAACAAAAATGTATCAAGTATTTTTTATTTACTATGTCTTAGTTTTTATACTTAGCATGCTTACTGAGTTTATTGTTTTGCGTATATTTGCACATTCCCTCCTGCTAGATTAGAATTTTCTGGAAGGCAGGAAACAGTGGCTGGGAGAGGAAGATTTTCTTCCATGGATACTAAATAAATGGCCAGCACAGTGCTGGGTACATAGTCCATGCTCAAAAATTCTTGTTTATTAGCTGAAATATTTGATAAGTAAACTAACATATAAAACTATTATGGTACCAGGCATAGAATAAACTTCAGCTAATTTATTTGTTTCAGGAATCCAAATAACCATTTTGCCTTAGACTTTTAAGGGCAAATATTTACATAATTAGGAAAACGCTAAGCAAAATCATAAAACAAGAAGAACATCCTGTGTCTTCTCACTTAACCTTCAATTAATCTTTTCTCCCTTTCTGACTCTGATGACTCTCCCAGTCCCCTCCCATTAGTGCTTTCATGCCTGTCCAGACTGCTCTCCACATGTCCTTGCCCCTCTCTCCACAGCACCTCACCTAGTAAAACTTCCCTCAAATACGCCTCAGGCTCTGGAACTACCTTTCCACTCTACCATACACAGCTTACCTGCCTGGAACGCCCCTGGAAGTCCCACTGGCTAGCTTTCTCATAGCTGAATTCTCTCCAGAACACAAATTGCTAATAATGGCTATATGTATGATCACGTTCCTTCTCTCAGGAGTGTGTCCATTTTAAGAGGGGTATGCCGTGTCTTGACCCCAAAGGTATGACTATATTGATGTCATTCCAGATAAGCTGGCACTGGGGCAATACTCTAGGGGCAATGGCATCATCTTTGCATTCCTTGAACGTATTCACAGGGTTTGTGCTTTAAAGCTGGACACTTATATATCCACTAAAGAAAGTCTTGACCTCACATTCACTGTACAATAAAGCATGCCTCTACCCACTATTTCAGTACGTTAAATCAGACAACTTCAGCATTTAGAGGCTCCAAAGTGTACTGCATGACTGAAATCTGTAGCATGAAGATCACAGCTGCAATCACTTCTAATGCTTTAAAGATTTGGAATCTTCAACTGAACAAATGGCAGTTATTTAACATGTTTAAATAATTGTAGCTTTTGGTCAGTAAAATCTATCTTTCTAAGACTATATAAGCAATATTTATTCTATAATTGTGCTTTCCATTTTAAAAGTTTTTCCAAGACAAAGATAATTCTTCATGCAGCTAAGAGCTGGTGTTTAGGAGAGTTTACACATAACAGAAGTTTCTCATTAATATTTAAGTTTTCTTAGATCTGTAGACAAGGCAGAAATTTCTAGAGAAATTATGAAAATATGACATTTTTTGTTACCGCTGCAGAAAATACTATAGCTAACCACATGGGTTTTACTCATTTCAGAATTAGGCAAAATCACAGTGTTGTAAGCAAGACAAAAAGCAAGTGGGGTTCTCTACTTGTTGCGTAAATTTTTTAAAGTATAATGTAATAAAACTTAATTCAATACCTTTGAACATTGTATATTTGAAAAACACTAGTAGTAAATGGCATTTCTGTGGTTGTCATCAAATTTGTCTCATTGTAGGTGCTGTTACAGCCTTGGATATCAAGGTGCAATGGCAATGTTCTCTCAGGAAGTGGAGGATATATTTGAGCTCCAATTCCAACCCATAGAGAAATGGCAAATCCAGCCATCAGACCAACAAGTGCTCCCTGTAAAACAAGAATGCCTTTAAAAGAAAAATAATACAATTTGCTTTGATGTCAAAATTAATATTAGAAAGCCAAGTTCAACATGGCACGAAATTATAAAACTCACAAGGGCAGAAACATTCAACGCTCTCTCCTCCCAAGATAGTGCTCAGCCCATAAAAATCTATTGAATAAATGAACAAGTGAATAAATGAATGAAAGGTATTGAGGCAGGGAGAGAAAAAGGAGTGAGAAAGGCCACTTTTAAGGAAGGCAGATAATCTGCTGGTGAAAAACCTGGACATGGTTTAAAAAAAAAAAAGATACTGTTTATGGCAGGAAGAATAGTATGTTATTCTTCCGTTACCGCCCCCAGAAAAGGACATGTTAGCTTAGTCAGCTACAGCTCTTCCGGAGGAAATACACGCTGGCAACAAATGCCAAATATCAAAAGTTGATTTTTAAATACATTTTTCTAATACTTAACAAACTAATGCATTTCATCACGCAAAGAATCTAATCCAAGCTTCAACATTCTGAGGTGGACACAAACAAATCTCTTTCATTGTGATTAATTCCTACAAAAGCAGCTTTTCATATGACATTTCATTGAGGATAATAAATAATAACCACAATAGTCCTTATTAATATCTGCCTTACCAATTCCTAATGCCTTATAAGGAAAATAGAATTCCAAATGTGAAGTCAGAGTTCTATGGCTATTCTATATCTGAAGCGACTGCACATACATTATCAGTTTTTCCTGAACTACATCTTATAGCCAGACTGAACCAGTGGACTTTCTTCTGGGTTTCAGAGAAATAATTTCTAGCTCATTTATTCCAAACAAAAGTTAGCACTTCTAAGCACAGATATGTCTAGGTAGAAGGACAGAGATATTACGTCTTTCTGGAAAATATTCCCAATTATGATCACCCCTTTGGGGCTAAATCATGTTGTGGGAGCTACAGCTTTAAATGTCAGGAGTAGAAAATTCCTGGCCAAGGTGGTAAGATTGTGTTCCTTCTCTTTGCTGTGCTATGGCTATTCACAGAAATCCTAAGTTTTCTGCCCTTAAATCTCTCATCTCTGAGCCTATTGATCTCTTTTAAATCCTAGCTATTAATTTTTGAGAAGGGCAAGTAGGTACGTGCATAAAAATGTTGCTCCTTTAGTTATATTATGAATATTTAAAATTGCCCTATATGGTTCTGGAAGTTTCCATTGAGCTTCACACATTTAGGGTCCCCATACATAGTACTTCCTTGTACACTCCACCAAAGTCAACAGAAATAATTTAAGTCATCAAGACAAGTAGCTAATGACAAATCTCAAAGGAACCAACTGAGAAAAAAGTGTAGAGCTGCTAGTATAGTTCAAAAAGTAATCCTCAAGCATATTCATTCTTTGTACTTACAATTGAGTTGGCAAAGGGAACCAAAATGCCCAAAGCGAACAGGCCCATAAGTGGTCCACCAACCATACCAAATACGCTGAGTGCTGCCTACAAAAATAATACAACGTCAGCAATTAGCAATCTCAAATCGAAACTCAAATATTTCAAAGTCATTTCATCAGGATAATGACTTAAAGTATTCGGCCTCCTTCTGAAAATCATAGTTTCAGTCATGATAGCCTTATCACTGGAAAAGAAGTCATTAGAACTTACAAGTTTCTGCATCTCAGTCTCAAGGATCCATCTGTTTCTGCAAGTAGCCTCAAAAAAGGCCACACAACACAAAGAAGATAGAGAGGTCTGCGACAATGGTAGTGCCTATGTGAATGTATAAATCATGAATGATACCTCTCCTCTTAGCATTGCTCTTGCAGGTGTTTATAAATCACAGCACTCCTTTGTGCTTTGATAATCTCAAAATCCTCTCATAACGGTGGACGAGTACTGCTATGTGACCAGAGAGGAGGATGAAACCCATTTGCCATTCCTGATTTGATTCCCTAAGGATGAAACTAGAATGAGAAATACGATTTTAAAAAGACTGATCAAATCATGTAGAAATAGATTTAAAATCTAATTAGATAACTGCAACCTTTGCTTTGATGTAGAGATATCAAATCCATGATAGTAAAAAAGATTTACAGTGCAAACATCGCATGAGGCAAAGCAACTAAATGAAGCTTCCAAGAGATATACGTTCCCAATAATCTAATGCCCAGTTCTTAAGAATGGACACAACCATAAAAGAAGAGCAGGGAATCACTGGTTTGTCCAGAGAGTAAAGGGGTTTAATAGAGCAGAATGAATGAATCAAAGAGAAAATACCAAGTCAGGGAAATATTAGAGGAAATAGTGCTTCTTGTTGTCGTTGTTGTTTTAAATAGGCCTACTTCATGGAAGAAGAAAAGGATGTGGTACTGAGTAGAGAGGAGAACTAGTGTTTAAAAGGATGCGGACTCAAGGATGTGATCCTGAGTCAGTTTACACACAGTCCAGTCAGAAGGGAGATAGACTTCACTGCAAGACGTCATATGACCCACAAAGCAAGTGATGACTGTGTGATCTGTGAGCAGTTTTGGAGACATAACAAAGACACCCAAAAAAGATTACAAGAGGAAATAAGACCTTGGCTAGAGATGAAGCAAGGATGAACTGGCTTGGAGTTATGATGACTTTGCTAGAACATGTCATTGTATATAATCAGGCCATAGCTGATATATGGAAAAAGGGGAATCAACCACAATAAGAGCTCCAGGCACTAATGCAGACTATGAAGAAAGCAAATTCTGTATGACTGGCTGTGGTTTAGGAGTGCTGGGCAGGCTTGGAGCTTCTGGATCTAATTCATTCATTCATATAATCAGGGATGGGGTCAAACTATTTTACAACTGCTATGTCCTAAACAACAACCAACCAGAATGGCCCCAAGCCTTAGGACTGAAGAAAGATCCTGGAGGACCCCTGCTGTGCCAGTACTAGCCTTTAAGTTTCTAGGTCAAGGGGAGGTCCAGGATCCCAGAGGAGCAGCCCAAGTGGCCAAGGAAATTTCAGGGAGCACTTGGGGTCATCAGATAATAGGATATTTATGAGCCTAACTACATTATTAGTTAATATTCAAGCTAAAGTTGTTAATGTCTTGCTTTGTCCTGGGCACTGCAGTAGGAACCAGATATTTGATACAGGATTGAACAACGAAGTCATCTTCCCCACCTTCATGAATTACAGGCTATTCAGTAAAACAGACACTAAATAAATAACTGTAATACAGTTTGATAATGGAGATGATAAAGAAAGTACAAGGTGCTTCTAGAAACATTTAGCAGAAGGGAATGCAAATGTATCCAGGTAATAGGAAAAGTCTCTTTAAATAAGTAATGTGTTAAAATGAAAACTGAAGAATAACTAAGGCTTAGGCAGTGGACGAGGTAGAGAGGAAGGTGTTGCAGGCAGAGGGAGAAGTCTATGCCAAGGCCTGCGTGTTGAAGACAGTGAGGTGCCCACAGGGTTCAGGAAGAAGACACTGTTGTAAAGATTGGTCTGTCCTCTCCAGGCCCACAGCTCCACAGGAACAGGAGGGAGCTTTCCAACACAAAAATGCTCTCTAATCAGAAGAGCAAACGCCACAGGAGGTGAAAGACCCTTCAGGTAAATAAACAAATTTTTTTTAATGAAGTATTTCTACTTCTGAGAAGATAAACATATGTTTCTCTATTCCTCCTACTAATAAAATTAAAAATCCTGACATTCCATATAAAATAAACATAAGAAGACTCTGAAAGGTGCAAAGAAGGCAGCCCGCTAGGGACCCTGGACCTGAAGAATGGTACAGGGTGAGTTCCCTAAGTTTTCTTTTTGCTTCATGTATCCCAGCCTGAGAACTGAAGAAGCCAGCCAGCCTGGAAATGGCAACAGACACAGGCAAAAAAACTTTAAAAAGATAAAAAGCCCTCACAAAATCCTGTTCTCTCTCTAGACACAGGGCCAGGAAAGGAGCAGCCTAGGAAGATAGAAAACTCTTAGACCCCAACCGCTCCATTCCATCCGAACACCACAGAATAATCTGTTCACCCCACCCACACCCATGCCAGCCTAGATTCCATCCCCCCAGACTGTCACCAGGCACCCTTTGCCTCCCTGCTGGCAATGACATGGGAGGCCTAGTGGAGAATCGGGACTTTCACCATGGCCCAGCAGTGACAAAGCCACCTCCTCCATGATGTCAGTGAATTCCACCCTGTGGTGCTCGCGTGTTTCGGGTGGTCCTAGTTAACCAGCTTCCCAGGGAAGCCTCTTCCCTTGAGTTCGCTTTGCATCATTGTTGAGTCTTGTACACCGTCTGATGCTCATGCATTTTATTCTGGCAGTGCTCTTACCAGAAGAATAGCAGGAGCAGGATGGTGTCGTGGGCCAGATTTAGTCACAGGTTAGATGACTGACAGACCAGGAGGGTTTTCATCTAGAGACCTTTCTCAGAGTTTAGGGGATCCTTCCTCCTTTCTTATACTTGTATTCAATCCAGGTCAGTTACCAGGTGTTTTGTTCACAAAGAGAGATTAAGCTATGCTTGTAAGGGTAAGCTTTGTTCCAAGGTTTGTGAAAATTGCATCGTGCTGAGGTGACCTGGTCTCCTGGAAATCTGGTTGGAAATCCCCGGCCAGGTTGCTTCATACTGCTAAGTTTGACAGATAGGACTGACCCTCTGAGTTGCTTGAGTGGCCTTATGCCTATCATTAATCTTATAGCCATAATATATCTCATTGTATACCACACTCCACCCCTGACCCTGAGGGGGTCAATAATTGAGAGGCTGCCCAAGTTTGAAAGTGCGCTCCATGGTCAGTCAAATCTTGAGAAATGGATCTTCTGTAGGACGGTGAGTAGGAGTTGGTGGCGCCCTTGGAAAAACCTGGAAATGAACTGTATCATCACAGAGAGGATACAGTAGATCTAGTGTCCAGCTGAGCAGTTAGGGGAGATCATGAGAATGGGGTTCGGCTGTGGCTTTGGGGCAGACTCGCCAATGATGGGGGAAGAGTGGAGGACAGGTAGCGACCAAGTCTGGACGGGAAGCAATGGATGTGTGGCAGGCCAATGAAGGCATGCCCAGCAGGCTGGAAGGTTAGCTGCTCAGTGGGTGGCCAAAATGTGGTGGAGGCTGTCAGTGACCTCAGTGCCAAGTAATTGGTGAATAGGTCTGGAGAAGCCACAGTTGGATGTGGAAAGTCAGGCCACCCGGAGTAGCAGCAAAAGAACACGGGCACACTGGGGCTTGGAAACACGATTACATGAGCAGGTGAAAGGAGTTGAATGGACTCAGTGGTAGCAGGCTTAGAGTTGCTTGATTACAGAGCAATGACAGGTGAAAATGGAACAGAAGGATAAGGAGGACACAGAACTAAGCAATTAGGTCTGGGGACACTGTGTGTGCTGAGGTGCTGTCAAAGATCCAAAATCGTGATCTTGAACACGGCCCGATGAAGCCAAAGTTCAAGGTGTTGTCCATTCCAGATGGCTGTCAGGCACAGCTGGGGCACCAAGTGTCTCTAGGAGGCACTGGCTGCAGGAACAGTGGTGGCCCAAGAGACCCCTAGGCAAATATACCAGTAAAGGTCTTGCCAGGGAGGGATATAGGTAGGGTGGGTGGGACAGTCCAGGTGGGTCATCCTGGACACAGGGCAGGAATGTTAGCAGTGAAGACATCTTCCCAAAGGTGGAAGTTGATGCTCAGCCATCCAGATGGGTGGTAGGTCAGTGGGTGGGATGACTGGACGACATTGGTATTAAGGAGAGTTTGCAGGAATTCATGAGGCTTGCCAGACAGGAGCCAATTTGGAAGCACCCTTCAGCGTATCTGCCAGTAGAGGTCACTCTGCCCTTGTGAACAGCTGGACTGGGCCTCATCCCGTGGGTGAGGGGTGTGAGAAGGCCAGGGAGAGCAGAGCCCAGTGTGAGACCTCTGGCTGCAAGGTCCTGTGTGGTGGGTAGGGAGCGAGGTGCTGTTGTGAACACTGTTGGATGGTTCTGTCTGAAAGGTGCAAAGAAGGCAGCCCGCTAGGGACCCTGGACCTGAAGAGTGGTATAGGGTGAGTTCCCTAAGTTTTCTTAGGGATTCTTAGCTATTCTTCAGCATTTTCCAGGGTGATGAGGACCTACAGAGCTCAATTAACTTCAGGGACTGTGGCCATCAGGGCCAGGAGAGTTGGTTTGGCTTATGATGGGCTCTCCTTAAAAACATCTGTAAACCATCCGGGTGCAAGGTGGTCTGTTCCAAGGTCTCCCAGTTGTGCCCCTGTCCCATGGGAGTGGCGGCTGTGCAAACTCACTGGAGCATGCCTAAGCGCCACAGTGGCTCCCCTTCTTCCTCAGTGTGCACCAGCCACCTTCAGCCCTTGATGAAAAGAGGCTCATTCTGGGGGTGCTATTTGCCAGGCCTGAATAGCCACTGCAGCGGACTGCAGGGACAGTTATGTCTACCCACTCTACTCTGTGCCTGGATAAGCTCAACAGGGTCTTGAAATAAGGAAATGATCTTATTATCTTTAAAGATAGCCGCTGGCTGCTGTATTTGTATTTCTCGGCCTATGAGTTGCAAAGCACTTCCTCTCAGGTACACACAGCACAGCCAGGTGGTGCCTTTCTCTTTGGGTTCCTGCACCAGGTCTTTGAGCAGGCTTTGAATTTCTGTCCACATTAGGGGTGAACCTCTTCATGGACCATATGGTGTCTAGGACACACTTCCTCATCTCAGCCAGCTGTGGAGGTGGCAGCAGCTTTCTCAGCCCAAGTGATGACTGGTGACACCTGTGGTGTGGCCAGCGGTAAGCCAGCACACCCAGGATCATCATTCCACAGCTCACAGGGCTCTGGATCGACCAGGCAGAATGACACGACTCTGAGGTGAGCCCGCGTGACTTGGGCATGTTGCCTATGGGCTGCTGCCAGCAACACTCAGCAGACATCACAGGCTGGGGCACACCCCTTGAGAAGCCACACTGTCTCAGCTGGAGTGCATGGTGGGCTGGGAACAGCTGCGACATGCCCTTTGATGATTCTTGTGGACTTCACTGGTGGTGTTAGTCCAAGGATCTATTGGGAAATATGCTTCTAAGTCCCTAGCTGGTGGGCAACAGCACATAACCCTTCAGCAGGTAAGCTTCACCTTTGCCTTCTTGGTCTGTGGCATCACAGTGCCAAGATCCTTGGGGGCAAGGAGCAACCCTCCCACAGCAGGAGCCAGAGACACACCAGCCAGTGGTTAGCTCTTCAAGCCGGGGCATCCTCCACCTCTGCTTCCTCCTCCTTAGAGCCTGTCCCCAGTTACTGGGGACCAGAGTGGTCTTAAGAATAATTTTGGCAGGTTTTTCATGGTGGCAATTTCACAACAGAGGCACAGACAAAGTATGTAGAAGGCAGCAACAGGCCACAAAGTAAAATAAAAACTACCAGACACACTACGGAGTGTTCCGGAGGGCTTCATTTGACTTCTTGATCAGAACCAGTCCCCAGTCACCCTTTCCCAGTCCTTCCTTAGAAATGGGTGCCATTACTTACTTGCTCACTTACTTATCCTATCCTCAATGCCAGTTGTGTTCAGAGGTTGTAGGTGGACCTAGTTAACCAGCTTCCCCAGGGGCGATGTCTCCTTTTCTGTTCACTTCACATCAAAGATGAGTCTTAGGCACCATCTAATGCTCAATCGGTTTATTCTGGCAGCACTCTTAGAAGATGGATAGTGAGAATAAGCTGGTGTCATGGGCCAGATACAGTCAGGGGGTCAGATCATGAACTGACCAGAGAGTCTTCATCCAGAGACCATTGTCAGACTTTGGGGGTCCTTCTCCCTTTCTTATACCTGTATTTAGTCCAGGTTAGTTACCAGCTGTTTCTTTCATAAAGGGTATTTAAGCTATTATTGTAAAAGTAAGCTTTGTTCTAAGGTTTATGAAAGCTGCATCTGTGCTGAGGTGGCTTTTTTTTCCTGGAAATCCCTGAGCCAGGGTTGTAAATTCCTACATGACATGTAGTATCAGCCCTGCAAGATATTTCAGTGGGCCTCATGCACTATCATTAATCTTATAGCCACAATATGTCTCATAGTATTCTACACACCCCTATCCAGCATAACAAGGAGCTCCTCCCTCTGGACTTCTACCTCCACCTGAAGTAATGAGGCGGCACCCTCCCTTACGCTACTGACGTAGTGTCAGAGAAAGCTGGCTAAAACAGAAGGTAAGATTCAAAGTTTCATCACATAATATTGAAATGCCCAGGTTTCAACAGAAATTAACTTTTCATAGAAAGAACCAGGAAGATCTCAAACTAAATATAAAGATTACAGAAACAGAATTATTTGATAAAAAATTTAAAACAGCCATGATTTAAAAAATGCTTTAACAATTAGAATTCACTTGAAACTAATGAAAAAATAGAGGGAAAAAATATATATAGAGAGAAAAATCTCAGGGAAAAAAAGAAGATATTAGGAAGAACCAAATGAAACTGTTACTCTGAACAAATACAATAACTGAAATAAAAAATTTTAAATGAATGGGCACAATAGCAGTATAGAAGGAACAGAGAAAAAGATCGGTGAACTGAATGACAGAACAACAGAAATAACCCAAACTGAACAATAGAGAGAAATGAAATGAAGAAATATAAAATAAACTTCAGGGATCTGTAGAACTATAACAAAAATATTTAACATTCATGTCATGAGAGTCCCAGAGGAAAAGAGAAAGAAGATGGGGTGGAAAAGTACTCAAAGAATTAATGTCTGAACTTCTCAAATTTGATAAGAGACATAAATCTCTTTCAGACTTATGAAAGAAGCTGATTCAAGATTCAAGAAGCTGAGTAACCCTAAAAACATAGGAAAAGAAAGAAACACGTGCCAAGACACATCAAAAACTCAAAACAAGGAAATACACACCAAGATACATCATAATTAAACTTCTGAAAACTAAAGAAAAAACAAAACAAAACAAAACAAAAAAACCTGAGAGCATTCAGAAAGAAATGACTCCTTACCTGTAAGGGAAAACAATTAGAATAGTAGCAGATTTATCATCAGAAATGATAGAGACAAAAAGAAAGTAGAAAAATATTTTTTTAACTCCTGGGGAAAAAATACTAGCAACTCAGAATCATATACCCAACAAAAATATCCTTTGGGGATAAAGGGGAAACTCAAGACATTCTCAGGTGAAGGAACACTAAAAGAATGGCTAAAAGAAGTTTTCTAAACAGAAAGGAAATGGTAGAAAGAAGGAACCACAGAACAACTCACAGGAAGGCAGAAAACAAAAAACAGAAATACCAAACAGACAACTAAAAACTGATTCTTAAGCCCTAACATAACATACCAATAATTATATTAAATGTGAATGGTCTAAGTACACCAATGAAAAGACAGAGATTGACAGGATGGATTTTTAAAAAAGACTCAACTGTGTGCTGTCTACAAAAAAACTCACTTCTAATATAGCAACATAGGTGGTTCAAAGTGAAAAAATGGAAAAATATACTATGCAACCATTAATCAATGGAAAGTAGAAGTAACTATATTAATATAAAATAAATACACCTCACAGCAAAAAAATTTCTCAGAGACAGATAGGCACATTATATAATAACAAAAAGGTTAATCCTTCATTAAGACCCAATGCATGAAGCAAAGCAAAAACTGATAGAACTAAAAGGGAAATAGACAAATACACAATTATAGTTGAAGAATTCACCACCCCTCTCTCAACAATTGATAAAACAACCAAACAGAAAATCAGCAACCATCAACAAACAGAATGTAATTGATATTTATGGAACACTCTACCTAATAAAAAAAGAATACACATTCTTTTCAAGTGCTCATGGAACATATACCAAAATACCATATCCTAGGTTATAAAACAGACCTCAACAAGTTTAAAAGTACTGAAATCATAAAGAGTGTGTTCTCTGATCACAATAGAATCAAACTAGTAATCAATAACAGAAAGATAACAGGAAAATCTTTGAATACTTGCAAACTAAGTACCATACTTCTAAATAATCCATAAATCAAAAGAATATCTCAAAGAAAACATAAAAATACATTCAGCTGAATGTAAACAAACATACAAGATGTCAAAAGTTGTGGAACACAGCTAAACTGGTGCCAAGAAGGAAATTTTCAGCAATAAATGCACACATTAGAAAAGAGGAGAAGATTCAAATCAGTAATCTAAGATCCCACCTCGAAAACAGCAAATTAAAACTCAAAGCAAGGAGAAAAGAAATCATAAAGATAAAAGTTAAAAATCAATGAGTGAAAACAGAAAAACAACACAGAAAAATCAATGAAAAAAAGAAGCTGGTTCTTTGAAAACATCAATGAAATTGACAAACCTGTAGCAAGACTGAAAAAAATAAGATACAAATTACCAATATTAGGAATGGAACAGGGGCTATCACTACAGGTCCTGCAGATGCCAAAGGATAGTACAGAACTACTATGAACAACTATACATGTATAAATTTGCAAACTTAGATAAAATGGAACAATTCCTCAAAAACATAAATTGTCACAATTCATCGAATATGAAATGGATAATTTGAATAGCTCTGTAACTATTAAGGAAATTAAATTCATAATTTTGAAACTAAAAAAAATCCAGGCCCAGATGCTTTCCCTAGAGAATTCTACCAAATAATTAAGGAAGAATTAGCACTAATTTTAGACAATCTCTCCTAGAAAATAGAAAACAGAATCCTTCCCAATTTATTTTATGAAGCTAGTATAACCCTGCTATCAAAACCAAAGGCAGTATATACACACACACACACACACACACACACACACACACGCATGCATGCACACACACACACCACTACAGATCAATATCCTTCATGAACATAGATGTAAAAATTCTTAATAAAATATTAGCACATATAATTCAGCAATATATAAAAATAACTACACACCATGACCAAACAAGGTTTATTCCCGGTATGCAAGGCTGGTTCTGCATTAAAAAACCAATCAATGTAATCCATCCTGTAAGCAGGCTAAAGAAGAAGATCACATGATCATATAAATTGATTACAGAAAAAGCATTTGAAAAAATTCAACTGCCATTTATGGTGAAAACTCTCAGAAAAAAATAGGAATAGAGAATAGGAATAGAGAGTTTCCTGTTCACATTGGGGAACTGGGTAAGGATTTCCACTCTCACTACTTCTATTCAACATGATATGGAAGTTGAAGCCAGTGCAATAAGGAAATAAAAGGCATTCATACAGATCAGAAGGAAAGAAATAAAACTGCCCCATTCGAAGATGACAAGACTGTTTATGTAGAATATCTCAAGGAATATAACAAAACAAACTAAACCATAAAACAAAGAAGCAAAAAATTATCAGAACTAATAAGTGAGCTCAGCAAGGTCACAAGATTGAAGATAAATATAAACACATCAATTTTATTTCTACATTTTAGCATTGAACACATAGACATCAACATAAAAAATACGATTTGCATAGAAAAGCTAAATAAATGAAGAGACATACCATGTTCATGTTTTAGAAAATTCAACATGGTAAAGATGTCATTTCTTCTCAAATGGATAAAAAGCTTTCAGGCTATCAATATTTAAGCAAGATTTTTTTTGTAGATACAGACAAGATTATCCTAGACTTCATATGGAAAGGCAAAAGAACTAGAATAGCTAAAACAATTTCGAAAAATAAGAATACAGTGGGAGGAATCGATCGACCTGATCTTGAAACTTATTTTAAAGCTGCAGTAATCAAAATAATCAAATTATAAAGCTGTGTGGTATTGGCAGAAGTACAGACACATAAATAAATGAAAGAAAACAGAGAATTCAGAAATAGACTCACACAAATATGCCTAATGGACGTTTTACGAAGGTGTAAAGGCAGGTCAATGGAAGAAAGCCTTTTCAACAAATGGTGCTGGTTGCACATCCATAGAGGAAAAGAGAATGTCAACCTAAGTCTCACATTTTATACAAAATTAACTCCAAAGGGATTGTAGACTTAAATATAAAATGTAAAACTCTAAAACTCTTTGAAAAGAAACATAGAAGAAAATCTTCAAAAGCTGGGGCTAGGTAAAGTTCTTAGACTTTACACCAGAAACACAATCCATGAAAGGACAAATTGATAAACTAGACTTTATCCAAACTAAAAAAAAAAATGCACTTTGACAGACCCTGTTATGAGGATAAAAAGACAAACTACTGTGTAAGAAAATATTTGTAAACCACATCTGACCAAGAGCTAGTATACAGAATACATAAAGAACACTCAAAACTCACCAGTAAAAAAAGCAAACAATTGAATTAGAACATGAGCAAAAGACATTATGAGATAATGTATGAAAGAAGATACATAGATGAAAAATAAGTCGCTGAAAAACATTTTCAACATCATTAGCCATTAGGGAAATGCAAATTAACACTACAATGAGATATCACTATATGCCTATCAGAATGGCTAATATAAAAAAAAAGACACCACTAAATGCTGGAAAGAATGAGGTTTAAACTGGGCCATTTGTCTATGCTAGTGATATAAAAATGACATGCTCTGGAAAATAGTTTGGCAGTTTCTTTTAAAAGTAGACATTTAGCAGTCACCTGACAGTTGCACTCCTGGGTAGTTATCCCAGGGAAATGAAGACTTATGCTCACACAAAAACCTTTATGTAATGTTTGTAACAGATTTGTTTGTAATACTCAAAAACTGGAAACAATTTAGATGTCCTTCATCAGCTGAGTAGGTAAACAAACTGTGATACATCCCTACCAGAGAATACTATCTGATAATAAAACAGGACAGATTATTGACATACGCAACAACCTGGATGAATCTCCAGGGAATTATGCCAAGTGAAAAAGGTTACATTCTATGTAATTCCATGTATGTAGCATTCTTGACCTGGTAAAATTATAGAAATGGAAAACAGATTAGTTGTTGCCAGGGATTAAGGAGGGAGTAGGGGCAGAAGGGAAGTGGTTGTGGCTACAAATGGGCAACAGCAAGGATTCTTGTAGTGATAGAAATGTTTTGTATCTTGGCTATATCAATGTCAATATATGAGTTTGATATTGTACTATCAAGATGTTACCACTGCAAGATGTTACCACTGAGGGAAACTGAGTAAAGAGTATATGAGATCTCTCTGTATTATATCTCACAATTGCATGTAAATCCACAATTATCTCAAAACACAAAGTTTAATTAAAAAAAATTAAAAAGTGTAGTCATCCCTGCCACTTGATATGTCCAGGTGTCGATATATATCGAGAGAAGTCTGGAAGGATGGTCACATCAACATTGAAAAAAGATTTAGTGATTTATGACTTAAACCTCCAGGGGCCAGCTCTCACCTGCAACAAAGCTCCCATAAGTGACGCCAGCGCAGCCATTCCAATACACAGGGCTCCATACACCACACCTAAATGGACAACATAAAAGCCAGTGTAAAATCCACACCCAGAGAATTAGAATTCTCAATAGAATAATCCACCACACCTTTGATTCAAAGTGGATAATATGACTGTGGTGAAGAATGGCCACACACATCAGAGCCAGTGAATAAAGGAAATGGCTATTTTCCTCTAGGATCAGCAGTGTTTCAAGAGGACGAAGCCCTTACATTGTGTCCCAGGATTAGTTACAACAGTAGGTTATATAAGTAAAGAGTTCCTGGAATAAACTATAGGTATTTAAAACTAAGAACTATATTGTGTTATTAATCTAATCATCCATAAACATTTGTATATAAAGAAAGGCTCAGGTCTCTGTTTTCAGCTTGCCAAAAATAGAATACTATTCAGCTCTGCTCTGTACAAGGTGAGAGAAGGAGTAATAAACAGAAATTAGACTCTTCTGACTTTAAGCATTCATTTCCCTTGGGAAGTGGCAATGGACACTATGGGGTGTTGGACGACTTTTAGCCCCCTCATAATCTCCATCAGTATCCTCAAGCCCTTCCTATTAAACTAGCAAAGAAAGGCAACTTCTGGATAAGTAGCACATCTGCCCTAATGCTAAGTTGTTTTCCCCAGACTTCTTTAAAAAAATTTTTTTTTCATAGAGACGGGGTGTCGCTATGTTGCCCAGGCTGGCCTCAAACTCCTGGGCTCAAGTGATCCTCCCACCTTGGCCTCCCAAAGTGCTAGGATTACAGGTGTGAGCCACCACACTCAGCCCAAACTTCTTTATAAAAGTTTTCAAACCACCACTGGTGGTCAGATTGTGGAATATTTTTTTCTATTGACTTTCAGTATTTTCTAAATTTTCTCCAGGTACATGTATTACCTTTTAAATTATAGGAAATATCATGCAAAAAAACCCCCTTTGTTTTAATACTTCCATTCAGCAAAAGTCACCTGAAATCAGTTGATATAATTTCCCAAATGCAAAACTCAATATACAGAAAAAAAATGAATGGGAAATTTGTCCATCATAAAATTTTTGTATTCCTTATGTTATTTCTATTTTATTTTAGCATTCATACCTTTGTTAAACGTATTGAGTAAATAATGCATCTGAATGAAAAATTTTAAATTGATTTTTTTGAAGAGTTCTCATTGCTATGATTTTTACGCCTCTCAATTTTAATGTAAATAATATTTTCAATATATTTGGTTTGATTCTCCATTTGATAGGTTATGAATAGTCACCATTATAATTTTGGGAATTCAAAGTTATTGGAAACACATTCAAATCATCTGCCACATTCTTCTCTATGTCCTTACTGCATATACTTCAAGATTGTGATTTCATAGTACCCTTTAAAATGAATGAAAGTCTCGTCTATATTAGCAGAGTTGATTTGTCATTCATCAACATCATTCCATGAGCACCAGCCAGTGCCTCCCGTTTTATATGCATTATCTCAAAACCCAATTCTGCAAAGTATTTGTGTGCCCATTTCCTATATAGAGAAATAGAGGCTTGTATGGGTAACTGGATTTTCTCAAGGTTAACAGCTAGTAAATTAACAAAGCAAGACTGGGTTTGTCTGGCTTCAAAAGCATCTATTCATCTATTCATTCTACTAAACCACACAGCTTCAATAATCCCATAATGAACCAGTCTAAAAACCCTTTAGGAAGCATTGCATCATTCTGAAATTATGTTCCAGGATTAAAATTGGGTACATAATAAAATGATGCATTGCTATTTAAATTTAGGGAATACTGAAGGATATAAATTAAGGACTCATTTCAGGCTACAGTTGTGGCAATTTTACATAGAATTATGGCTACTAATGGGGTATAATTTACTATTTCTTTGACAGTCTATTGATGTTATTGTGTTGAGGTTAAAGATTCTTTCTCGAAAAGGAATTTGTTAGTCATGCATTTCAAGGTGTCAAAATGAAGAATGCAGTACATTGGCAAGATTTCTTTGAGTTGGATATTACATTTGAGACATCTGGGAACTGAAGATGCTTAAACCACTCTATTCAAGCTGGTATTTAACCCCTAATGAGGCTCTACGATTGAACAGAACAGAAGTTGAGAATTTCTTGCACAAATTTATAGTTCATCTCCAGGACAGTGTACATAAGCAGACAGAACAGACAACTAAGACGAGTCAAAATTCATAACACTCTGTTTCTTTATCTTCAATTCATCTAATCTATTAATCTAATTTAATCTAATCCTCTGTAAACATTTGGGAAGTGTTTATGGGAAGACAACATAACTGAAACTGACAGTGCCTTCTTAGGTAACAGAAAAAGTGTGGCTCTTGGTTACAAACTAGGGATATTTCTTAGAACTGTGGACTACAGTTGAAAAGGAAAATAGTTGAATTTTTTGTGTGTGTGGCTAAGAATTTTAACACAAATTTAGGATAGGATGAAGGCACAGGAAAAAAGGACAGCTAAATCGGTCCCCTGGAAATTGTCCTTTGTGGTTCACTGACAATTAATTGTTTGAAGTGTCTCCCAAATCTTGATTACAGATATGGTAACATTAAACATTGATACAAACATTTTTTAAAAATCTGCATTGTCATAGGCATACATATGTGGATATCCAGTCATATTCAGAGGTCCTTCCTCTGTAGCTTCAGTGGAAAAGAAATTTTTGTGTCTCAAAAAATCATCTCTCTGAGCTAAAATGGAATTATGAAAACAGAAACTTACTCATTCCTTGGGAAATCCAAGACAGAGACCTTTCTGAGAGCGATCTGAAGTAAGGTTTGATTAGATCTTCCACAGTTACTGCTGCTAAGGCATTAATACTGGAGGACACTGTGCTGTAAGGGAAAATAAAACTTTTGATTTATAATATTTTACCTTTAATAATACTTTAAGTGGGAATGAGAAAGGGGGAAACAAATTGTCACTTCTAAAATATAACCTGATTTCTACTATGCTTTTTTTTTTTTTTTTTTTTTTTTTTTTGAGACGGAGTCTCGCTCTGTCGCCCAGGCTGGAGTGCAATGGCATGATCTCGACTCACTGCAAGCTCTGCCTCCCGGGTTCACGCCATTCTCCTGCCTCAGCCTCCCAAGTAGCTGGGACTACAGGCGCCCGCCAACAAGCCTGGCTAATTTTTTGTATTTTTAGTAGAGACAGGGTTTCACTGTGTTAGCCAGGATGGTCTCGATCTCCTGACCTCATGATCCACCCGCCTTGACCTCCCAAAGTGCTGGGATTACAGGCGTGAGCCACTACACCAGGCTCTACTATGCTATTTTTAATAATCACAGCACTGTCTTTCTTGAAACTGTTATCATCCAAAAATGATATTCAGGCAATATCTACAGGCTTGACAGTAAAAGAGAAAGGATATGTTCATGTTGCTTCCACTTGCTGTTAATCCTCAGTGTCTAAAAGAGTCTACATAGATTACTCCGTATTCCTATGCATAACAACTTTAAAATGTATTTTTCTTTGTGCATAGAAAGGACTGTCATAAGTCCTCCCTACCATGTGCTGTAAATATCAACAATATTAATTTCCTGAATCCCCACTAACACACACTGTACATGTTGATAATAACAATTCTCTGGAACAAACGCAAGGAGAAAGGGCAATGATAGATCACAAAATGTAAGATTCTTTGGGCAGTATATATTATTCAACATGTAAATGGAAGATTTCATTCTAATTTTCCAGTTGACCACGCTTCAGCCCCATGTGTGTTTTCAATCAAGACTGTGGCACCCATTTTTGATCACCAGTGAAAGCTACCATCAACCGATCGTCATTATTGTGACCATAGGTATCACATCATAGGATGTATGGTGGTGTATTAGAGAGCAGGGACCTAGTTAAAAGTGGAGCCGATGACAACAGGACGCTAGTCCACAGAGATAAGTCAGACCACAGAGAGGACACATACAGCAGATTGCCTACTTTGGGCCATCTGTGTCTGTGCCCAGAACTCCACATTATCCCGCTAAAGTATCTAATAATAAAAGAAAGATCCCAACAGGGAAATCATATGTTATTAGAGTCATAGTTCATACCTTAATGTCCCACTGTAAGCACAGGCCACAAAAAGTCCAGGAAGTCCTGGATAATCTTGCAGAATGTCCAGTACCAAATAAGGCATGAGCTGAAAAATTCCAAAATTTATTTCCAAGTACTTTCGCTACTGAATAAAATTAATGAATGCCTAGTTTATCATTTGTCTTGTCTCCTTCGGGAACTGAAAGGAGTTATTCCACACAAATGAAATTTTCAAATACCTAAAATTAAACTGTTTAACTACTAACACTTAGAGAAACGAATAGCACAGTAGTTAAGTAAAGAGGCTTTGGATTCACACAGATACGGCTTTTGTAACTGAAGTTCTGAGCCTCAGTTTCCTCATCTATAGAATAGTTGTAATAATACTAACCTCATAGAGTTGCTGTAAAAGTTAATTTAGATAATTTATGTAAAACTCATAGTATAGTATATGGAATATAATAAATGCTCAAAACAAAGTAGTTGCTATTCTTGAGAATAATAAGTTGTCTTTAAGGAAATATTTGACACACCTCTGTGCTTAAGTAAGCAGCATCCACTTAACTTTACTTGATGACTCAAGGCCATTTTGTGAACTTCAGTCACTGCCCAGGACAGAAGATGTAATTTTAGGTGCATCAGGTACGAGACATAATGATGGGTGGAGAATGACTTCAGGAAATCCCTTAAACTTGCTTCTGTTAAAAAACTTCCTGATACTAACTTGCTTTTTGATAACTTATATTTTAAAAAATAAATATCAAATTAGGATAATCAAGTGTGTGACTTCAGGACTCTGTTGCATGGCAGTTTTTCTACAAAATCAGTTTCCGAATCAAAAGAGTCCTAAGTGGACAATTTTCTCGAAGAGTGTCCTCTCATTTGCACTAAAACCTTATTGATTACTTCTCCCACAGTACAGAGTAGATGACATGTCCTATTTTATCGGCTTCCATAGCCTCTTCAATTTCATTTAACAATAGTGTGCTCATGGGATATGGAAGAACTTCCTCCACTGTTGAAAAGAAATGTTTCAACATTAGGATTGTTTCAGTTCTTTTAGGACTGTGTTCTCCACTTTTCCAAAGCTTACTCAATCTTTATTCTCAGAAAAACGGAATAGCATTTATCCCTATATGAGATCAAGACCCAATTTTTCCAAGATATCATAAAGGTTTAACTTTAAACAATGTCCCACAAATAGCAAAAGTAGGTTCCATCTATAGTGTTATAAAAAGGTCCAAAATCCTCTATCCTATCTTCAACTTTCTCAAAAATCTGTGGTGTAATTATTTCGTATCTGAGTGGCCCCCTCAAGTATAGGTAGAACCAATGAAATAGGATTGATGGAGAGGAAAATAGTAAAACTATATCTAGAAACTGGCCTGCTTCCTCTGGGCAAATGCCAGCAGAGCATAGAGAAACATATCCTTGCTCTCTTGAGGATAAGGGGTTTTTTTGTATTTTTTGTTTGTTTGTTTTAAGGCAGTCTCCCTCTCTCACCCAGGTTGGAGTGCAGTGGCTCGATCTCGGCTCACTGCAATCTCCACCTCCCAGGTTCAAGCAATTCTCCTGCCTCAGCCTCCTGTGTAGCTGGGATTATGGGAACCCACCACCACGCCCGGCTAATTTTTGTATTTTTAATAGAGACGGATTTTACCATGTTGACCAGGCTGGTCTCGAACTCCTGACCTCAAGTGATTTGCCTGCCTCAGCCTTCCCAAGTGTTAAGATTACAGGCGTGAGCCACCACGACTGAGCGAGGATAAGGTTTTGACACGATCTTCCACTGTCTTATTTGCATGGTATCCCCAGTGAAGTGTTAATTGAATTAACTTGTTAACTAACACAGTCCTGGAAATATATCAGTTGGGGAGAAATCTTCACGGACTCTCTAAGCGTATGCAAGCAAGACACCCTGAATGTATTCTACAAGATGTCTCAAAGGTAGGAAGCCGTAGGGATTTTTTTTTTTTTTTTTTTGGCCCAGGGTAAAGGCAAAGTATATTACAAACTTTTTTTTAAAGTCGTTATTGTCTTCATGATACAAACTACAGACAATACAGATTGATAACAGTCACAAAATATTCTTTATTAGAGGGGATGTAACAAGTGTGCCTCCATCTTCATAGTAAACGTGATTCTTACCTTCTCTGAGAGAACAGAGAGGGTGTGTTTATCAAAAGGAGGGCATAAGTTAAGATAGGGTTGAGAAACAGCTCCAGGGTGTTTTTATTTTCTCGGCCCACCAAGTTGTATTTTTCTGGGAGCATGAGATGCATTTGCATCAACAGAAATTCAATCTATTTTCATTCTAATGAATCCCCTAGGAACTTGTTCCGCAAGTGAGTCTTAGAAAATAATTTTGGCAAGAACTCAGGCTTTAGGGTTGGGCAATCCTGTGTTTGAATTCTAGTTCCCCTTTTTGAAAGACAATAAATGGCACAGAGGTTCAAAGTTAGGACTCTGGTGGCAGCTTGCTTGGTTTTAAATCCTGGCTCCAGGTTACTAGCTAGTTATTCACTTAACTTCTCTAGGCCTGAGTTCTCTCATCTTTGAAAGGCAGATAATCATAGAACCTACATCAGAGGGTGACTGTGAAGATTAAAAGTTGAAATTTATATGAAGCATTATGGTAGTGCCTGGCCCATGGTGGGTATTTGATAACTGCTCATAGTTATTCTTACTTATTAGCAATGTGACCTTGGGTAAGTTATATAACCTCTCTGAGAAGCATTTCCTCATCTGTAAAATCAGGATTGCAGGGTTGTGAGAATTAAATGAAGCATGTTAAGCTCTTGGCACAGAATCTCACCACATAGTTGGTACTCAGTAAATATTCACTTATTGGATCCATCTCTCCATCATTTAAAAAATTGGAAGATAAATTGCTTATAAATGAATGCTCTAACAAACACCCACAAAATGTTCTATAGTACAATGGTTTGTGTAGTTTAAAAAACAAACAAACAAACAACAACAACAACAAAAAACTGTGTTCACATTCCTACTCCCAACCTTGAGCTATTCCTATTTAACACTCTGCTTGATTTTTTCCTGGTATTTCCATATTTTCATTTTAGATGCAGTACTCTTCATTCTTGCTATATCTGCTAAAATAAATTCTTAACAAAGTTTTATAGAAATGTAAGATGATGATGGCATGTCCACTTTCCGTTTCTCTACAAGAATATGAATGCTCTTTCCTCTCAACTAATAAGCTTTTTGAATATTATTAATACACCTGTAAGAAAGACATGGTACTGAACCTGGTCTGGTGCAGACACTTTCTTGGCTGTCCAAGGATCACAGTCATGGTACCTGGAATATAGGGCGAGCCCACAAAACACTGAGCATGTGAGGATTGCCCAGAGTCCCACAAGATTGATGTAGAGAGACCTAAAGAAGTGAAAACAAACCAGCAAAAGACAACTGTAATTTCTGTCCCAAAGATTAGGAAACCTGTTACATGATCAAAAGAGACCTTCATGATTAGACTCAATAAATGTACATTATCTTTTGATTATCGAAAACTCTACTTATTTTATTCTAGCCTAATATTCTGCTTATGATACCAATCAATCGACAGTGTATTTGGAAATATTTGAATGGATGGGATTTCCCCATGAAAGAGTGTATGCTCGTGGTCGGAGCTCCAGGGGCATTGTTAGCTTTATAAAGGTACCTAGTTATACTACTTCAGGTCTTCTTGTCATGAAATAAAGATTTTAATAGTCAATCGAGCATTAACTATTACTCATTTTCCTTTTAAAAGTAATGCAATTGTAAACTGCTAAACATTGTTAACATTTACACAGTAACTCATGAAACTTGTTTAAATGTTGTTTATAAGACCACACATTAAGTAGGAATGCAAATCTGTATTCCTTGGACAGGTATCTTCTCAAACAATATTCAGCACTGTAATATACTGTGTGTGCTCCAGTAGAGAATAAAGGTTTACACACAGCACTGGAGCCAGTCCTGAGCATAAATCCTGGCTGTACCATAAGTGACCCTGGGCCAGTAATTCAACCTCTCTGATCTTCAGTTTCTTCACTGAAGTGTAGGATAGCAATGCCTATGTCACAAAGTTATAAAACTAAATGAAACAGTATATTATCATATAGCATGGTACTTACACATAATAAACCCCTGTTAAATACTAGTTATTGATATTAGTGTTAGTGTTATTGAATCCTATGTCTTAATAATCAGTTGAATAGTAAACATTTCTCTTGCTAAGATGGCTACATATTTTTTCCACTGGTGCTGTAGTGGACAGTGATGAGCTGCCCGAGGTGGAAAAGAGGTACCATCCCTGAAGTCATGCCTCCTTCTTCCCAACCCCCGCAGGAAGTCTGCATCCAATGACAAATGGATTCAGAGGTTTAAAGGCCCAGTCCCCTCACCCTAACATGGGACTAGTCTGAAGAGCCACCCTAGCTCTAGAGCTCCCTTTGAGGCCTCTGTTCAGACTGCATTACAGTCCAGCGTCTCCCTCTCGTCAATCCTGTTTCCTTTTCTTCCCTTCTACATATAGCGATTCTCTGATAAACTCTTCCATGCTAACCTCAACCTCAGAGTCTGCTTCCGGAAGAATCAAAGGTGGGTTTATCAGATTTATCCTTCTCCCTTGAATTGACTAACATTGCAGTATGTTTTGCTATTGCTAGCTCATCTCCAAATCACCAGAAAATTATGCCCAGATACTCTCTTGTCCAAACACCTCCTGTCTCTTATATATGAGTTTAATATATTGTTTTATTTCACTTTGATGCTATTCAGATTGACCACTTATCAACATCTCATACTGTCTTTTGTCAATCAATGTCAGTAGGTCTTGGTTTTTTAGCAGGGATTCATTCTTACCATAGCGTAAGTGTGAGAAGGCAGACGAAAATGAGTCCCCTGGGTTTCGAGAGTCTGCTTCATGCAGGAGATCTACTATGCTTATGGGAATTGATTTTTATCAAGAAAGCTCTAATGCTGCTATTTAAGTTATCAAGTCGGGCTTTTTGGGTTTCATGTTCCCAAGGGAAGAGAAGAAGAGCTTGTCCACAATTACTCTGGGAGAGGTATCAGCTCTAGTATAGATTTAAAAGTACAATAGACTACTCTATCTATAAATTACATTCCTCCAATATTCCGTAAAATACCAGAATTCCTAAGTTCATTTTGGGGGGATCCCATATCTGGTTATTATATCCATATTCATATAGATTTTTCACTGTGAGTTCTTCAAAGATTTAGGTAATCTCTAAACCAATTTACTCTCAATATATTGAGTTCTGACATATGACATCACAATATTTTCATTTTCTCCTTTAAATAGAAATAGAATTGTCCTCCTTCCCTCACCCTATCCACCCTGGACTCTTATTCAATCTCCTTAGAGCTTTAAAGCCCCTAAAAGCATGTCAGCAGAGTCAGCCTATTTATCAGCACAGGGAGTGGTGAGCACTGCAGTGATGTGAGGCCTCCAGAGAAGGAACCAGCCACCATTCCACACTCTTTGCTCAAGCCAAGATGGGCTTGAGAGTTCTGGACCATGCTGTCCTTCCTACCTCTGTGCGTTCATCCAAATCACTCCACCTACCTAGAATGCCTTCCTACTCTTCTCCACCTGCCCAAATTATGATCATTCTTCATATTCATTCTGCCAGTTCAATAGGAATCTCTCATCCATCCTCCACCTTCACATCACATCAGTTGAAGTGGAAAAAGGAACTTACATATACTAGGCCTTTACCATGCGTATGCCAAACACAGTATTTTACGACACCTCCCATGAGGTGTATAGTATTTCTTATGCTCCTTTTACAAGTTTAGAAACTGCAGCTCAAAGAGACTGCAGAATGTGCCCAGGATCACTCAAATAGCAAATATTAGAGCAGGGTTATAAATCCATGACTGTGTCTGAAAATGAAATATAAAGCACTATATGTACTCTGGAACATTTTCTCTATTGCTATATCATTTCATGAAACTGTTACATATCTCCAGTATTATTTTATTTTTTCACATACTTGCATGTATTTTCCTAATTTGAGGTTAATTTTCTTCAGACAAAAGCCATATATATTTATCCCCCATGGGTTCTTATGCAAACAGATGCACAATAAATGCTGATTTGTTTTCATTAATAATTCCTATAAATATTTTCAAATAGCTGATTTAAAACATACAGTAACAATTTGTTCTTGGTCCTTTTGTAACCAAATATATCATTTATCTCTTGGAATTTCATGACACAAAAGACATAAAGGAGCTAAACGTGACTTATGAAAGAGTTTCCATAAAGACAACTGATGGTTATTAATGATTCATATACCATGGTGTGTGACTTACAGTTTTGCCTGGAATCTGCTTTTACAAGAAATATATCTCTGCACCTGGGATTGGTTGACACCGTAGATGCTGGTCCATGTGAAGGTCCCTCCTATAATAATTGTCCAGAAGGTGTGTCTTTGCAAAGGGTTAGGATTAAAACTAAATGACAAGAAACAGAAAACAAATCTGAACTATTAGCAGAGACTAAAAAAAATTCTCTTAGACTATATTTGGAAGCAAGCAATGCACATTTATATACACAACACATACATAAATATGTAAAAATTTATTAATTAATTTAAAAGGTAGAAATATTTCCAACTTAAGTTCAATGAAATAAAAAATACTATTTTCAGAGATCTGAAAATACTAGAAGAGACTGGGGGAAATGAATGTTGCAATCCTTCTGAGCATTTATATAACTTGTTCTCCTGTGATCTAAGGAAACTGTCATTTAAACAAATCTGACATGATATAATCAGAGAAGAACATGAAACATAGAGAAAGAGAAAGAGAAAAACATTCCTAAGTGCACCACAGCAGACGAGATGGCACTAAAATGAACACGAAATCAACACATTTTGTGTATAGAATTCCTCTCCCAGCACATGTAATCATAGTTCTAATCTATATTCACGTTCAACAAATCAGTCAATTAATGCAGTTTCAAGTTTTGCATTTTCTAAAAACTGCATGTCATTGTAATCATGCTTTATTAAAATGCTGTGCGTGCAAGCTAAATACTAATAGTTTAAAGCCACTTTATGACATCATGTACATAAGTCCAAAACATTGTCACAGGGAAAGCTCAACTTCCATGTTTGAAAGATCTTTTAATCTTTTTTACTGGAAGGAATGATTTTGTTCATCTCTGATATACAATATGAGCTAGAAAACTTTCTGCAAAGTTAGCTTTCATGGAGACTTCCTTAAAATTATGAAATTTTGCAAATTCATTTCAAATCTTATATTTGAGATCAGTTAAGTGCTCTAATTGTATGTGTATTCTGGCATTCTTATGGAAATGTGAGAGCCTCTATTTCATGTCTAACATTTCATATCAAAGTGTAAGAGTTTCAAGACTGTTGACCCTTTCTCCCCAAGAGAGAGAAGCTACTATATTAGCTAACTGAAGAGCCAAAAGGAGCCAGTAAGCTATCTGAGGGAAGTATGACAAGATTTAAAACACTCACTTTAGTGGTTTAGGCCATACAGAATACATAGGCCAATGGCAGACGACACAGAAAATACCAATACAATATCCTTCTTCTCTTCATTTATCTTAACTTGAGCAATACTTTGTCTATCATATTCTCAAAACATATCAGAATAACAAGGGATACTCTTGAAAAGTATGAAACACAAATAAGGCTTTTTATTGTTACTTAATGACTTTCAAAACTAAGGTCATAAAAATGTTTAATCTTTTTTTAAAAATCTCTTACTAATGTGTATAAGCTATCACTTCTGTGCTCCAATATATGTATCCTTCATATAAAGTGACAGCTATCTTGCAGAAAAATGATTGGTTCCATACCCTCTCTCCTCAGCCTGGCCTACCAGGAAGAGATTTGGGAGCAATCAAGAGTAGTCATTGGTTGTTTCCACTTCCTGGACTTCCCCCCTCCCTGTTCTGGTAAAAGCAACCCAGGTTTGCTTTGGGGAAACTACCATTTCTCCATTAAATAGTCTCAATTGACGATCAGTCAAAATATCTTGTTCTGCCCTGGCCAAGGGGTGGAACCAAGGTCCAAGCTAGGCAACTAGAGCCTCTTTTCCTTAGAATCTGAATCTTGAGCTAAAAGAAGGAAAGAAATATTGAAAATAGTCAAAGTTGATTCACTAAAATTTATCCCTGTAAATTAACACATTGACCCTGTCCAATTTCTGAAAAAGCTTTTTCTCAAACTTTGGTGCTTATTTTCAGAAGACCAGAAAAGAGCCACCAAGTGCAAAATGGGTTTTTTTTTCTTCAAACTGCCTATGTTAAAGCGGGGCTGCGATCTCAAAGAGAAGATAGGCTAATTCAAGACAACATGGGTTGTCCCTTTCCATATTGCAAAAGGACAACACTATTGATCCAAAACGGAAGGCGTTTTCAATATTCTTTTGAATTGTGTGATATACTTGGGATGAAATATCTAGTCTCTTCATTGTTCTTTCTTTAGGAAAACTGAATAACTGCTTAAAACATGTTACATCATGTGCTGTACTGTCATTTGAAGCATAGACTGTAACTTTCCTAGTCAATTCTCTAGAAATAATACTTCATATTAGATAATGTTCATTATATAATACATACACATACATAGAATTATAATACATAATCATAAGCTACTATGTTAATATACTATAGATTGCCAGGGCAATATCAAAAGAGAAACTCTCAAAGTTGCTTAAAACAAAGAATTGTCAAAATGAAATCACTGTCTTTCAGTGTCTGTCTCTGTCTCTTTTTTTTTTTTATGGCAGGTGCTAATCCAATATGCTAGTGTTTGTCTCTTAAGAGGCTACCTTTTCTCTTTTTTTTTTTTTTTTTTGAGACAGAGTCTCACTCTGTTGCACAGGCTGAAGTGCAGTGGCGTGATCTCGGCTCACTGCAACCTCTGCCTCCTGGGTTCAAGCAATTATCCTGCCTCAGCTTCCCAAGCAACTGGGATTACAGGTGCCTGCCACCACACCTGGCTAATTTTTTGTATTTTTAGTAGAGATGGGGTTTCGCCATGTTGGCCAGGCTGGTCTCGAACTCCTGGCCTCAGGTGATCCACCCACCTTGGCCTCCCAAAGTGCTGGGATTACAGGTGTGAGCCACTGTGCCTGGCCAGAAGCTGCCTTTTCTTAACTTTCCACTGTCTCTTTCCTTATCACCCTGTCCCACTTTTCAACCTATTCTGGACTTTAATACCTGGAAGAAAATACTTTTTTTGCTTTAAGTCCCTTCTCAGAAGGAAACATTGCTCTAAGCACCATGTAGCTAAGTACCATCTGACAGGTTTAATCCCTTAAAGAACAGAGGGAGGCTCCTTACGTATTTACTTCTCTGCTTCAATTTGCTCTACCACATCCTTAGCAATTTGTTGGCTTGTTTTTTAATGTAAATCTACTATTTCAATAAAGAGATTATTTTTATAGAATACAAAAGATGTGTTCAGTTACCCAAGTACTAGACACTTACTTCCAGAAATTTAATCTTCCACCATCATAGGCATCATTTAAAATAGTGCTGATTCCACCTTGCATCACCACAGCCTGTATAATCACGGATGCAAATCCAGCCACCATGATCCCAACTTGAAAAACATCTGTCCAGATAACTGCTTTAAGACCACCCTTTGAGGGGAAAGTATATTAGGATTAATGCTTCTATTAGACATTATTAAGCATCTACACACTTATACACTATACTGGAGAAAAATGATATAAACATGAATGTTGGCTAAGAAGTGCACTCAAGGGAAACAGTCAGGTTGGGAGAATCTTCATACAGAAGGATATATTTAAATCAAGTCTTCAAACATAAGCAGAGGCAAAGATGGAGGTTCCGCCCAGCAGAGAAAACAGCATGGGCAAAAACATAAAGGAGTGAAACTACATGGCATGCTGAATGGGGCCAGATACATTCCACAGAATAAAGTGGAGTGGTGTCGGGAGATTGTTGGGAAGAAAAATCCGAGTCAAATTACTAGTAAATAATATGAATTTTATCCTACAGGCAGAGGTGATATTTAATTGGTTTTCACTCAGATGGTCATTTCCACTGTTATATACTATAAGTGATCTGTACTAGCCACCACAAGAAATTTCCCAAGTTTCTCTATGACCTAAGCAGAACCAGCACCTGGCTGAGGGCCCCATCTTCTACAAGATCCAGCACCTAAAGGGTTAAGACATAGAGTGTCAAGGATTCCATAAGATTTTCTCACTGCCTCGGACCAGCACACATAATAATATCAGTGCCATGCCATACTGATTTTGCATATTTTGTCACCCCTACCTATAAGCAAGGGGAAGTTATCACAGATTTGTTTTTGTTTTGAGACAGGGTTTTCTTTGCTGCCCAAGCGGGAGTGCGGTGGTGCAATCACAGCTCACTGCAGCCTCAAATTCCTGGGCTCAGGCGATCCTCCCACCTCAGCCTCCTGAGTAGCTGGGACTACAGGTGTATGCCACCATGCCTCCTAATTTTAAAAAATTTTTTTTGTTTTTTTGTAGAGACAGAGTCTCACTTTGTTGCCCAGGCTGGTCTCAAATTCCTGGGCTCCAGTGATCCTTCCACCTCGGCCTCCCAAATTGCTGGTATTACAGGTGGGAGCCACTGTGCCTATGACCTATGATAGGTTTTTAAGCTGAGGAATAGTATGAGCACAAATATAATAACTTGGCAACAGTACAGATGAATCAAGAGACAAGATTAGGAACCATTGCAATGGATCAGATAAAAGAAAAAATTTCAGTTATGCTCCATTTTCTACAAAGGATCAAATTATACTACAGATTATTTCTCACACAAAAAAAGTTACACTGCAGGAGGTTGGGAATAGGAGAGTAAGTGTGGACAAACAAGATTGCGGTATACAACAACTGGAATTTTCAATTTTGCAAAGCAAGTGGGTAGAGTGAAAAGGGAAATATGTCCTGGACGTACCAGTGTGCAGTAGAATGTGCAGACCACCCCCGTTGCCACTACCGCGCCCCACAGATCAAATCCTGTGACTGTAGAAAAAAATAGAATGCATATATAATTGTGAAATATGCACAATAAAAATAATCCTCAAAAATCATCAGAGAAGGAAGCTATATCATTTATCAGGCACCTTCCTCTATACCCACTTGCCTAAAGCTAAAACTAGCTCCAAATCTCATAAATGTCTCAAAAACAAATGGAGTTTAAAATTGTATTTGATAATTTTCTACTCTCAGACACACAGATCTGACACTGGCTTAATTCAATACATGGAAAGGCGTTTATATTGTAATTAAGCTAAGAAACTCCTTGATACTGTGATGGGTATTTCTTATCTCTCTCCCGATTAGACGCGGTTCAAATAAACACTCTATTTTTATGTAATGTTGCAAATACCTGAATTTGAGGATAATGTATCATACTGACAATATAATGACAATATCAAATTGCTATGATGTATAGATTCAAATGAAGACAACACGAAAGGATTCAAATGTAATCTTTATAACATTGCAGATTGCGGATCTGATTTCAGAAATTTAATAAAGGTAATGGTAATTCCTTTTTTTTTTTTTTTTTTTTTTGGCGAAGTCTTGCTTTGTTACCAGGCTGGAGTGCAGTGGTGTGATCTCAGCTCACTGCAATCTCCACCTCCTGGGTTCAAGCAATTCACCTGACTCAGCCTCTCGAGTAGCTGGGACTACAGGCACGCAGCACCATGCCCAGCTAATTTTTTGTACTTTTAGTAGAGACGGGTTTCACCATGTTGGACAGGATGGTCTCAATCGCCTGACTTCGTGATCCACCTGCCTTAGCCTCCCAAAGTGCTGGGATTACAAGCGTGAGCCACCGCGCCTGGCCGGTAATGCTTTTTAAAAAACTTTTAAGTTCAGATGTACATGTGGAGGTTTGTTACATAGGTGATCTTGTGTCATGGGGGTTCCTTGTACAGATTATTTCATCACCCAGGTATCAAGCCTAGTACCCATTAAACCATTTGTTGTTTTTCCTGATCCTCTCCCTCCTCCCACCTTCCACCCTCCAATAGGCCCCACTGTGTGTTGTTCTCCTCTGTGTGTCCATGTAAACACGCAATTTCACCAGTCCTTGAAGAAGGCGTTACTAAGATATGTGCTACCAAAATGGGATCTAGATGGAGAAAAGTCTTTATAATTTGCTCCTATTTATCTAAGAAGTGGGGACTTTATTTCATTTTTTTAAAAGAAAAGAATTGTGCTTGTTTCAGCAGTACATATACTAAAATTAAAGGATAAATCAAAGCCAAAAAATTACTCCTAGGAGAGGGAGAAAACAGGGTAGAGAAGACAGAGATACAAGTCAGGCTACTTTAAACATATTTTGATGTATAGATTTCACTTTGGAACACATAAATATTCCACATAAATATAAAGTTAAATTAGAAAAAAAAACTCCTCAAAATCAATTGCAAAATGAAATAAATGGAACCTAACTGTATATCAAGTTTGTGACATTACCACACAGAGGAAACATGTCACAAAATATTTAACACAGTAATTTAACATACATTCCTACTGAGATACACCCAAGAAAAAAGAACAACAAAGAATAATATTTTTAACTGTGTTAGGCCATTATATTATTCATTATGGCTTAGAGTTGCTATTCTAAAACTATTACATCCATGGCTCTCAATTGTGACTGCACCTTAAAATCAACAGAGGAAATTTATGGAATCCTGATAACTGGGCCACTCAACAGCCTAATTAACTCAGAGTTCTGGTGATGGGGACTGAGGTATTGGTATTTTTGAAAGCTCCCCCACCCCGCAAGTGAGTCCAATATGCAGCCAAGGCTAAAATCAGGAGGAACTTAAGGGGGCTCCGGCTGGATAAAAATGGGACAATTTGAGCATCAATAATAATACTAACGATAATGCTATGAAATAACAGCAAACCTTTAAATCCATGAGTTCGTAAGAATTTTTTAAAAATCTCAGTCACCCTTGGGGGATAGTAGGAAACCAATTTATTATTTTTAAAATTCATAAGGGGAAAAATCTGACATTTATCCTCCCTTTCCTATACAAACTATTTTTCAGAGAAAGCAAATAGTTGATAAGAGGAAGTTTCTCTTTATAGCAGTATTCCATCTAACTAATGAAGAAGAATTCACAGAACTAGAATACTCCATTTTATAAGCCTCAATGAAATAATGAATCTAGAATGATCATCAATAGCTGCTGATAATTTTTCAAATGACATTCTGGGACTCCTGAAGGAAATAAACTTATAGATATTGCCTATGAAATATGATTTCCAAAAAGTTGAAGTGGAGTCTGAAAAAGAGTCTAGATCTAACTACTACTAGTAAACTACTACCAGTTTACAAGAAATACAGAGGAATGGTGAACATTAAATGACCCCATACAGATGTAATTGTTAAACCTAGAATCTGGAAAACTGGACAGAACAAATAACCCAGTTTCTTCTGCAAATATGTTGCAATTTAAATGAAAAGGAATAGAAGGGAGATTGTAAATTTAAAAAGAGACTTTAAAAGAGCCTCACAATACATTCAGTAAAAATTGACAGAGAAATAGCAGCAATAGAAAAATTGATAATTATATCTGGAGATTTTAGCATCCTTCTCTCAGCAATTGGTAGAACAAGTAAAACAAATTCCATAAAGATATCAAAGATGTGATAACACTATTAGCCAACTAAACCTTTGACCTTATAGAACATTACATCCAAAAAGCACACAATATACATTCTTTTTGAGAGCATATGGAATGTTCAAGACAGACCTGATCCTGGGCCATAAAACAAATCCATAAATTTCAAATGATTAAAATCATATTAGTTCTCTGACCAAAGCAGTATTAATTTAGGAATAAATAACAAAAAGACATGATAGAAAATCCTCAAATATTGAAAATTAAGCAATACACTTATAAATAACCCATGGGCAAAAGAAATCACAGGAGAAGTTAGAAAATATTTTGAGAACTAAATAAAAACACAAGGTATCAAAATATATGGGCTGCAGATAAAGCAGTGTTTCAAAAAAATTAATAACTTTAAATGTTTGCTTTATGAAATAAGAAATATTTAAAATCAATGACCTAAGCGCCTACCTTAAGAAGCTAGAAAACCCAAAGTTATTAGAAGAAAAGAAACAATAAATAGCACAAATTAATGAAATAGAAAACAAAGAAAATCAATGAGCCAAAACACTGATTCTTAGAAGAGATTTAAAACATCAATAGAATACTGGAAAGATATATCAAAATAAGAAGATAGAAAACTTATCGATATTAGGAATAATTAGAAGGGATGTCACTATAGATACTATAAACATTAAAAGCATAACAAGAGGGTATTATATGCAGTTTTATGCTAATGAATTTGATAAGTTAGACCAAATGGAAGCATTCCCTAAAAAATACAATTTACCAAAACTGACCCAACAAGACTTTTAAAATATGAATAACTCTATATTTACGAAATAAACTGAATCCATAAACCAAAATCTTTCTACAAAAACAAAGAGTAGGCCCAGATGCCTTCAGGGTGATTTCTACCAAGCATGTAAGAAATAAATACACAATTTTATATAAACTATTTCAGAAAATGGAGGAGGGAACACTTTTCAATTCATTTATGAAGCCTTATCAAAATGTTAGCAAATCGAATTCGGTAATATATAAAAAGGATAATACATTATGAGCAAGCAGGGTTTATCCCAAGAATGCAAAAATTGGTTTAATATTCAAAATTCAGTCAATGTAACTTTTCACATTAACATTACAATAAGACAGGAAAGAGAACTAAGAGCTATAAGGATTAGAAAAGAAGTAAAATTGTCACTATTCATAAACAACATGAAAATCCTAAGGGATCACCAAAAATCTGCTTGATTTAAAAAGCAAATTCAGCAAGTTCTCAGGATGGAATATCAACATATAAAAGTCAGTTGTATTTTTATACACTTGCAACGAATAATTGAAAAATAAAACAATGACATTTGCAATAGCATAAAAAACAACAATTATCTAGGAATAAATCTAAGAAATAGTAAAAGACCTCAACATCCAAAGCTACAAAACATTACTAAGAGACTTTTTATTTTATTATTTCTTTTCTTCCTTTTTTAAAAAATATGGAATGCTTCACAAATTTGCATATCATTTTTGTGCAAGGGCCATGCTAATATTCTCTGTATTGTTCCAGTTTTAGTATACATGCTGCCAAAGTGAGCACTAAGAGAAATTTTTAAAGGCCTAGGTAAATGAATAGATATATCATGTAATGTATTAGAAGAATATCTGCTTTTGTGAAGTGTTCAAGTCTTTGGCTCACTTTTTATTAGGTTATTTGTCTTTATTCACTTTATTATTTCAGAAGCCAATAAGCTAAGCCATAATAGTCTAATAATAAGCTAAGCCATAATAGTCATATAGAAAGTGAAAACTGAAACAACAATAAAATAATAGGTAATACCCACTAGAATGACTGAAATAAAAAAGAATAATATCAAATGCTGGCAAGGATGTGGAATGACTAGAATTCTCACATATTGCGTAGTGGACATGGAAAACGATATAGCCACTTGGAAAAACTGTTTGGCAATTTCTTGTAAATTTGCACACATTTCTATCCTCAGCTGGGTCCAAATAGAATTATATTTTTAATTTTATACTACATCCATGTATTTCATTTCCAATGGAAGTGAAAACAGGTGTGAAAAAGAAAAACAAAATGCACAAAACCTTTAGAAGAATGTTCTTGGCACCCTTACTTCACTATAGCCTAAAACTGGAAACAACCCAAGTCTATAACAAGAGAATGGATAAAAAAATGTTGGTAGAGGCATAAAATGAAGTACTACCAGCAAAAAAAAAAAAAAAAAAAAAAAAAAAAAAAAAAAAAAAAAAAAAGGGAATGAACTACTGATATATATGTAGCAGCATGAATGAATCTCAAAACATTTTGCTGAGCAAAAGAAACCAGACATGAAAAGGCTCTATATGATTCCACTTATATAAAATCTAACAACAGGGAAAACTAGTTTATGGTAGCATAACTCAGAAAATGATTTCTTGGGCCCATAGGAGATTTGTTAGAAAGACATGCAAGGAAAATTTCTGAGAGTGGATGACGGAAATAGTCTATATCTTGAGCGGGGTGGTAGTCACACAAGCTATTAGGCAACTACTAAAACTCATCCAACTGTACACTTCCCCATGCTCTGTGCATTTTATTGTATGTTAACTATACCTCAATAAAAACTAGTTTTCTCAACAGGCATCAGGTGGTCAGGAAAAAAGAAAGAAAGAAAAACTGGTTTTCAATTTTAAAAAGCAGAAAAGGGAAACTTAAGAGACATCAACTGATTGCAATCACATAAGCTTATTTGGATCCTGATTCTTATAAACACTGAAAAAAAATCAGGGAAATGTAAACACTGACTTGATATGAAATTAAGAAATTAATATTAATATTTTAGGTACAATGATGGTATGATTATGGTTTTTAAAGTCTTTATTTCTAAAGGACATACTGAAATACAGATGAAATGACATAACATATTTGCAGCAAAATAATCTATTAGAGGTAAGGGGGAGTGAATTAAAATGGACCATGAGTTGATAAATATTAACATAGAGTGATGAATGAGCACATTAAGGGGCTCTATTCTCTCTTAGTATTTGTATGAGGATTTCCAAAATTTAAAAAAGAAAAAAAGAGGTTAGACCTAGAGAATGTTAATTTTCAATTCAGTTAAATAAGCTTTTTTGAGCATCTATTGCACACTAAGTTCTGTGTCTATGCCTGTACCTACAGCTTTGGTCACAGTAAAACACACAACTGACACTCTAGTCATCAAAACACCTTCACTTTCATTCTAATTTACTCTCAGGGAGTGGTTTGAGCCTGATAAGAACAGAATGCTTGATTTCTTCACAGATTAAAGTCAGTCCTCTGGTAATTCCCAGAACTGCATTTTAAAACCATAATATGTTCAATTACACTTAAGTCCTAAATAGGTAACTCATGAAGTTTATAACTCAGTTCTCGACAAATGAGATGATCCACTTGTGATGTTGGTAATACCGATGTGGAACATGCCCAGAATTCAGAGTTCAAGAGCACCTTACACATGAAGTTCCTCTTGGTAATAATATTGTTCACTTCAGAAACAGGTGGTAACTACTGTCATGTCTATCATAAAATCAAGAAAACAGAGTGTGGAATTAGTAGGTTTTCTTCATGTCATTTTAACCCCAGGAATTGTACCACATTCTTCCCATCACAGAGTCCACATGTCCATTTTACAAGGACGTTTTAGAGAAATTCACTTCGAATAGATAAGAATTCAAAGGGCATGGTGTTTCCCCAAAGCCTTTTGAAACTATGACTAGCATGAACGTTTGCTTCAATAAACTATCCCAGCCTCACTGCATTTATCTTCCCAAATCTAGAGAGTATGGGTACTTTGTTGAGCAGCACAATCTTCCTAAATTTATTTGTAAGGGCACTACAGACATCTGTCCTTTTGTCACTAGGAGCAGTCTGATCATTCAAATCACATGGCTCTCTTTCTCTTTCATTTTGGGCCTTATTAGAAGTGTGGAGAAGAAAAGCTTTTCTCCCTGCCAGATTTTACAACAGGCCTGAGCAGAATTACAGGGAAGCTTCCTGGAGATGGGCTCCAGGTTATAGATTCACAAGAGGGGATGCCGTCAATCCTGACTTTGGCTACAGGGAGCTTTAATTCTAAAGGAGTGAATGGGCTGATGGGCACATCCCAGAGAAGTACCACCTGGAGAAGTCCACCTCTGTGGTCTACAGACACTTTGGAGCTGTCCATCCAAAAACCCAAAGAAGCTAGTGTAGACACTGAACCCATCCTGCCCCGCTAAGTAAAGCTGATGCAGGTTACTAGAAGCATTCCTCCATCTCCCCATCTCCCCAAGGAGAAAATAAGGCTTGTTGAAAGTGAACCCCAAAATGTGAGTTACCTAACTGGCAACTCTAAAATGTACCTTGATTCAAAGCCAGGGCAGGGGCATAAATAACAATTCCAGTATACAGAATCTAGGGGGGAGAAAGAAAGCCAAATGAATTATATGAATTATAAAATTCATGAATTACGTCTGAGTTATAAAATATTGATTGTTTTCCTATAACTTCAATTATGACTTAAAACAACAGTTTCAAAACACCTAATAAAATTTGTTTGTAACTTGCAAAATATTTAAGTAAAGTTGACTCTTCTGTTTACGGTATGACCGGTCATAAGTTACAAATATTTTTTTGTGACCGGCTTATGTAAAAATACGGACTTTTATATGGTGCTTAGTGCAAATGGTCACTGATCCACCAACTCAAGCTTGAAATAAAATTTCCTACATCTGAAATAATTAGAAAAAAATAAATAATAATAATATAAAAGAGGATGACCCCTCAATTATGTCTTCAAACTGTTAATCCCTGCATAATTAATCAAGAAAATAGTAAAAATTTGGAAAGCCTATTTCTAAACTTTTACTGTTCATAAATTAAACAAAAGTATAAATTTGCACTAAAAAAATCCTGAAAGCCAATGAAAACCACATTCAATCTTTTTAATATTATTCATTATTTTCATTCATACACTTAACTATTTATTGATCTGGGGTACAGTAGTGAGTAAGATAAATACGGTCTTTTTCTCAAAATGTAATTTTGATTGCACTTGATCTTTCAAATATATCCCATAAAAGCAAATTCCATGATTATTCTATAAAAGCATATTATGAAAATAAAAATCTATTCAGTACCTTTGAATGTTTGATTATATTACATGAGTAGAGCTATGAAGTCCTTCAAATGGGAGGTGGTAAAGCTCCCCTCTTTTTGCAAAAATGAACTAACTTTCCACAGTCATTATTCTGTCCAAGTTGAAGATTTAAAAACATGACCACAGGCCACCTTCCTAACACTTATCCCTACTTCTGATTTCTGTTGGCATCTCTAACAAAGATCCAATGAGGTTCTGAACAGTTGGTGAATGCAAGCTACCAGGCTCAAGTCTCTAAGAGACACCAAAGGATTCCTTCCTTTTACACTGCAGTTGTTAAGGACTGATAAAATTTAAGTTATATAATTTGCAAAGATATAAAATGGAGTCAAGTTACATAATTTACAAAGGCACTCTGTCTCACTGCAGCAAATCCTAAGGCAGCTTTTTTTCCTTTTTTTTTTTGAAACAGAGTCTTGCCCTGTCACCCAGGCTGGGGTGCAATGGCATGATCTCGGCTCACTACAACTTCTGCCTCCTGGGTTCAAGTGATTCTCCCACCTTAGCCTCCCCAGTAGCTGGGATTACAGGCACCTGCCCTCATGCCTGGCTAATTTTTGTATTTTTGTAGAGATGGGGTTTCACCATGTTGGCCAGGCTGGTCTTGAACTCCTGACCTCAGGTGATCCACTTGCCTTGGCCTCCCAAAGTGCTGGGATTACAGGCATGAGCCACCGCGGCTGGCCCTTAGGTAGCTTTTGATTGGAGAAGTGGAATTGCAATTAGAGACAAGAATGCAAATCTCTTCCACAACCTCCATTAGCAAACCCAGCCCTAAAGTGCTTAACTGACAAGAGGAAAATGTGTATATAAATAGTCATGACAATGATCATTACAATCTTCCAGAAGCACGGTGAACAGTGGAAAGCATTCTCTGTCACTGACCACTTGGCAAATCCTTGCTTTCCCTTTGTGTCAATCAGTAGATCTATAAGCGCATGTTCTTGAATTACTGGATTGAGTATTTGGCTTTAAAGAGTCCTCCAGAGTTTTGATTCTGTTGTTTTACACTCTAAGGACTGCTTTAGTTGGTTCTTGTAGTCTAATTTTTAAAAGAGCACTGACTTTTAAAGTACGATTTCAAAGAAAATTATTTCCTACTGTCTTCCTATGGAAGTTAATTTTTTCATACCTATTAATATGTTACAGAAATACTGTGAACATGCTACTTGTTTTCCTTTTGTTAGAATTCCCACTGTCAGCAACAAATATCTTTGTCATGTAGTAATGCCCTTCCTGTCACCTTGGTGGAGGTGAAGGGAGGTCAGATAAAGGGAAGCATATTTTCCGACTGTTGCTTTATCAGTATAATATTTAACATTCACTTAAATCCCAGGAAGTAAAGCATTTACTGAAACACTGTTTGATGATCTTAAGGGTTGATGCTGTACAGTGACAAGTGTTTTTCCTTTTTTGTTCCCTCATTTTTTCAACATCTCTTTTTTGTCTTTTATGTGATTCCCAGGTAAGCTTAATCCAGATGCCATGGTTAAAAACATTTTAGCTGACAAAAGATAAAATAAATGGAGAGCTACTTACTGTTTGAACAATGAAGAGGACTGTTCCACAGAGACGAACACATTTGTTAAATCGAAGTTCTAAATACTGTTGCAAAAAAAAAAATTATGCGAATCCTCTGGATGCCTTTTTTAAAATCAGCAGCTCAAGAAGAAAATTTAAATTTAGAAATGTAAAGCAACTTCATAACTGATTTGTATTCTGTATTTTTATTTTAGTGTTATTTTTATTTATACACAGCAAAATTGACTCTTTTGTTTTAGAGTACAGTTCAATGGGTTTTAACACACACTGATTCATGTAACCCCTGTCACAATCAGGACACAAGACAGTTCCATCACCCAGAAAACTCCCTCGGGCTTCCCCTTCATGATCAAGCCCTCTTCTCCCCCGCCAAACCCTAGCAATCACTGATCTGCTTTCCCTCTCTAGTTTGGCCTTTTCCAGAATGTCATATAAATGAAATTACTTTCTGTATTTTTAGAGCGAGCAATCTGTTGTTCTCTTTCTCTTGGTATCTACTCCATACATTTTTCTTGGCTCACCTGGGGCATCAACCCTTTCTGACTGCAGACTATTGTGATGGAATAGTCAGCCAATTGCCCTGCCTCTTCTGACCAAGAGGAAATCACATGATCCCAGCTCAGCCAATCAGCTTTTCCTTCCATTGGGTATTTGAATCTTAAAGGCAGGATACAAAGACAAAAAATGACTGATCCTGACAGAGTGGCCTGAAAAGGCTGCCCCGGTTTCTGTCCTTTCCAAGGCTTGCTTACTCAGCCTGTCCCTCTGTTCTATGAGCTACCCCCATGTCCTTCTAACAATTGTTTTTTTAAACTTAAATCACCCAAGTCAGTTTCTGTTCAGTGCCAATGACCATGCCAATTTTTCCTATTCTACTTGAAATCTGCTATGTCTTATAACATAGTCTGCTTGTCTACTATGTTATATAATGTATTATAATATACATATTACAGAGTTAGGATCATAGAATTTCAGAGCTGGGAGCTAAGATTTTCTTTAACTTGAATATAATTACTAAGAAGTTTAAGGCTGACAACAATCTTCATAGAGTAGAAAAGAAGAGGAAGGAAAAACTGGCATTAGGTAATAATCAGAGGAAAAGACATCTGATTTTTTTGCCCCGTGATCATGGCTAACACATACAGAGTACTTGCTGTGTGCATGGTCCTCCCAACAACTCTATGAGCCAGGTACTGTGTATAAACCCATGTTAGAGACAAGAACACTGGGCCTCAGATAGAACATCAAGTTGAAAACCTTGCAAACTTGCCAGGGCCACAGTACACATTTAAAACCTTTGATGCCAAAATCTGTGCACATTTTTCTGCATATATAAGTAAATAATCTGACTACATATTTAAGACTCAATAAGTGAATGGGTGAAACTAACACAGAGTAAGACCTCACTCCCAGATCACTGATCGGTGACAAAAATACACAGTGCCTTGTAGTACACTGGAGGAAGAGTTCCAGCCCTTGACCCAGTCCCACGCCTGACTCCATCAGCTTGTGGCAATCATTCTCCAAATGTCAGGTTCTTTCTCTTTAAAATGAGGGGCATAATAATAATTTGTTTCCCTCTCATTTTGCAGGGTTTGGAGACTATTCAGTGACATAAATGGATGGGGAAATGTAAACTCAAAAAGTAAGATATTAAGAACCTATTGGTATCCAAATCAATGGGCCTGGAGAAAATTGAATCTCAATAAATTACAAGTGTCAAAATCATTCAGGGATATTTTGGAAGCCTTTTTAGAAGACTGGAGAAGTTTATTAAGTCTGGGAACAAGGCAGTATTATTATATTTCTTTAGAAGTTTATTTTTGGTTTGTTTGTTTTGTAAATCTCTATGAATCACTAAACATGTGAATGGACATCAATAGAAGAGAAGTCTTTGTTTTTTCTAGGTACATGAATCCAAATTGCTGGAGACCCAAATAAATTGAACCAAACTGAAGCAAGTAAGTTAATCAACTGATCCAGGGAAACCTGTGATTTAAGCCCAAGGACCAACTCAAGACAGAACCAAGAAGTCTATTATGATCTCAGCCATCAATTACTAGGCTGCTGAAGAAATACCCGGAGACTGGACCAGATGCCCAAGTCACTGTGCAGCAGCCTTAGGGAATACTTGTAAGACTTCTAGACATAATTACAGAGTAATGATAGGTGCCTAAATTAATCAAGATCTCTCGTGGTCCTCAGAACTTTGAATTGCTTCTGTTGATATGAATAAATATATAAATAACAAAGAAACATAAGGTCTAAGCAACTCAATTTAAAACACAGATTTAGTTGGCTCCAGAAGGATCTTGAAGAATTGGTGGATTAAATTGGATTCCTGCATTATACTTGGGTCTGGAAGTTGCTAAACACCTATCAGGACTACATTTTGAAGGCAGTGATGGATGAAAAAAAATGCTTGTGAACAGCTAATTTTCACTAAAGAAATGTCAACAGGGAGAGATTTCATACTTGAGCAAGAATGCCAGGGTATCAATCACTCAACACTGTACAGCATATTCTGTATAGATTCTGTACCTCTCAGCATAAAACAATAAACAATATACTCCACAGGAAAGTCTTTGCCATGACCAATTGGGAGGGTCTTAGCATGTTGCCTAACTTCCCCGTTCCCAACTGCCTGGCACCCTGGAGGTGGATGCCTGCAGTGTGCCCACAACTTCACGTGTCCTATATTGCTTCCCTTGTTCTCTCTGCACTGGCGTAAGCATTGCTTGGGGTTATAACAGACTCATCAGAGCCTTCAGAAGCAGCCAGTATGCTGCTAGGCATATGTCTACGCTGCTTCACATTCCTAGTAGCTTAACTTACTCTGAGTCTCTGTCCACAAAATGGGGCTCTTGATAGTACTTGCCTCATAAGGATTGTTCTGAATGTGAGTCAGATAATGTATGTAAAACATGCAATGCAGCCCAGTGCCTGGCATGTGTTCAGCATTCAATGAACTTTTGCTTTTTGACATTTTTAGCTGGAACCCCTGCTAACTTAGCCTCTACCACTGCAAGCATGAGGGAAATCTGTTTCTGCTTGAGTTAATGTTGTAGCCCCGAAGAGGCATGGGTCAGTGGTTATGAGAGCAGCATTCATGTGTGGGGACTGAAGTCCTCCTGCCAGATTCTTCAAACCCTTTCCAAGTTTGGGAATTGGTTAGCTATAGATCACAGCTCACAGACTCAGATGCCTCCAGGTTCCATCAGGTAACATACATAAGTGACAGTGGCCAGGTGTTCACATATTAACATGTTGGAATATTCCTCCCACCCACTAAGATATATGTTTTCTTACATCTCCCTGGAAACAAGAGATCCCTTTACCCCTGTCCATTTTGCCTTTCACATTTTTTGATAAAGACATAAATGCAGATAAAAATTTCTCTACCAAAAAAACAGTAACCATGAAAACACAAAGATAAGACTTCAATATAGAAGTTTAATAGAGAGTGAGAGCAATAGCTATAAACTTGAGTTCCTGTGGCCACAGGGAGCATGGGCCCAGTGTTACCAGCCTTTTGAGTTCTCGAAAGAAGTCATAGTCTGAAATTATATTTTATTTCTTCTCACTATAAGGAGAAGTAAAAAAAAAAAATGACTGAGAAGTGAATTTGGTCTGGGGAATTTCGCCAGTTTGTCACTTCTGAGCAAACCTGAGAAACTGCATCCTGCTCACTTCTGGGATAATTATTGAGCTCTCCCAAACACAGCCCCAGAGTGAATGGAAGGCAATGCTGCCCAGGGGTGCCTCGCCCTGGAAGATGTCACTAGAGCCCAGGCAGAGTGTGTCACCAATGTTTGTTGTGCCGTTAAGGCCCTGTCCCCAGCACCAGTTGAACCAGCCTCACTAGGAAACCACCTGCCAGAATCTCAGGATTGGAGTCCTCTGGGTAATGGCCTAATAGAGAGGAAACTTCTGCAGGCTTGTCCCATGTAGCTCAAGGACCAGTGCTGGGTGAGGGAGACCACTGAAGGCACTGAACTGGGCCCCGCCACTCCCCTGAGCTTTGATCCCGCCCCCACCTCCCATTCAACAGCTCTTTAAACTAAACGTGCATCATCTTTTCAAAGCCCTTTCTTGCAGACAACTTGAGAAAACCTATAGCCAGGGGACCTGTGCAATAGAGGAAAGACAGTTTTCCTTAATTGTCTTTCCATAGAGAAGGCAGAGCTGTTTGAGAACCTTGCTGCCTAATTTTCCTACTGATCCCAAGATAACTACCACCATCACAACTAGCACCACCACAGTAATTATGGCCAATACCTATCTGGCACTTACTCTGTGTCAAACTCTATTCTAAATGCTACACCTTGCATCATCTCATTTAATCCTCCCAACTGGATGAGGTAGGTGATATTATTTTATTTTTGAGGAATAGGCACAAAAGGTTGGGTAAGTCACCCAAGGTCACCCAGCTAGTAAGTGGTAGAATCTGGTCCGAAATACAGGTACTGGTACACCTTAGCCACTTGGGTGCCTGTTTCAGTGGAAAGGGGGTGGGTGTGGAAGGGGAAGGAAGGGGAGTACAAATTCTTTACCAACTATCTTGGAAGAGTGAATGGGGCTGAGGACCTGGAACAAGAGTATTCCTTTCAAGAAGCAGGGCCTGAGACCTGAAGAACTTACCTTCCCCAAAAATCTTTCCCCTTGCCTGGGAATCAAAGATGCTAAAGGTAGAAAGGACCATAGCGAGCACTACTGTTGCAATCCGTTCACTTTGGAAGCCTCTTTTTTTCACTAAGCCCAGGAGAGTAAATCCCAAGAATTTTTTCACCCTTAGAGGACGCCTCTCAGTAGAAGGGAAAGATGCCAGGTGAAGATCGGGGGACGGGGAGGAGTGAAGGGAGGGTGATGATGACGATGGACGGGGAGAGATTTCGATGTGGCAGTGACAGTCTGCCCCCAAGAAAACGCCTCCAGAGGTCTGCAGAGTCCCCTTCCCCCGCGCCCTGCATGGTCCCAGCCCACCCTGCCCCTTACCTCGTAGGTGCTGGTAATTCCCAGTTTGTAGAACACCGGGAGGAAGACCTCCGCGCTGATGACCACCACAAAGAAGTAGGTGAAGGCAAAGATGCTAAAAATGGCCCCAAAACGGTAGACCTCGGAGGGGGTGCCCAGGACAGTGACGGCTGACATGAAGCTAGCGGTGAGGGACAGCGCCACGGGCACTGCGGTCATTCTGCGGCCGCCCATCAGGAAGTCCTTGGAGGTCTGCTGGCCGCCCCCAGCGAAGGCGTAGTAGATGCCGATGGCGGCCGAGATGACCAGCATGCCCGCGAACACCACGTAGTCCCACACCACGAAGGTGCCGATGCCCCGTGGCGTGTCCATGGCCGCACGGTCGCCTGAGCCCTGCGCGCAAACTGGTGGCCCCGCGGCGCGCAGCCGGAGCCCGGCGCGCACTTCTTATCCCGGATCCCTGGCGCGCAGGCGTGGCGTCCCGCGGGGACTGGAGGCGTCCTCCAGGTGTCGGCCTCCGAACGCACCCCGAGGCGGGGTGAGGGCTGGCAGTCGCCCCTGCACCCGCCGCTGCGAGCCGCGCCCCTCAAACCCAGGTATGGGACCTCGGAAAATCGACCCGCTGCCCTGAGTGCTCACCACGTGAGGAACTGGAGTGGCCGAGTTCGCCAAGGCGCCGGGGACACCTGAGCAGATGAGAACTGGAGCCTCCAGCTGCTTCCAGCGAATCTACACAGGGAGCGCTCTGGGCAGGTTTTGTTCAAGTGGTACCCGAGGGGACGCACCATTTAAATAAGCAGGCGACCGGTGGAGGAATGTGGGACAAAGGGCAATTGTCACGCCTTGAATTTTAGCTTTCCAGTTCAACAGTCCGGGTCCTTACGGAAAGGGACGCCTGGAGTTTTTAGACTGCCTTATTTGATAGGTTAATGGGTGACAGTAGATTAATGCAGGTGACAATCTGTAGTGAACAGAGATCACAGTCCTTAGACAGGTCATCGATCGTAAAGGAGAGCAGGAAATCTGTGCTACTGTTTCCTTGTGTTTTTACTCAACAAACGTTTCTGAGCCCCTTCAGCCTGTTGTTGGAAATAGTAGTTATTGGAAGATTAACAATAATATCCGCTTTTTAATGAGCCTTCATGTGACACATACATGCTTGGCACGTTTTATATTAGTCAGTGTAATTCTTTTGGTGAACCAGTGTAATTCTCATTACCCTTGAGATAGGCATTTTCAAATGCAGAAATTACTGTCGAATGATTAAGTCACTTGCCCAATCAACTGGCAGAGATTAAGATCTTTAATCTAGGTCTGATTTCAGAGTTTGCTCTCTTAATCACAATGTGTAGATACGTGTTATAGGTAGGCAAAATGTGTACACTTAAATGAAGACACTTGAAAACACTGAAGAAAAGATCATTTCCAGCATCACCACTCAGGACATATTTTAAGTGGCTTGTCTTGAAATACTATTAACACATGAATCACACTCAAATAATATGATTCTCAGGTTTTCCTTCTAAAATAGACGCTCCAGCCAAATGTGCTCAGCTATCAATCCATTTCAGGCAGTCCTTGTTCATTTGTATACAACTTTATAATATACCATCTGGTCCTAGGTAAACAATCCACAGAATGCATTTAGTCTAGCCTAGTGTATGATAAAAAAGCTATATCAGATTTTATTTTTTGTAAACTGATGTTATTTGTATAATATTTTCAGAAGGAAATAAAGAGGGAAATAGAAACTAAATCCAAGTAATTCAATTGGTTAAACAAATATGTGGTTTGGAATTACGTCCTACCAGTGTGAAATGTACTATATTTATATATTACATATGATGTTATACATACTTATATATAATACATAAATTATATGTGTATATTATATAACTTATATATATATATAAAGCAACCTGTTAGAGTAACACACAAAAGAATCCACCTTGATCCTTCTGGGAATTGGATTCACTTCTGGGAACTTCTTTAAAGCCAACAGCCCTAGATATGGGAAAATGCTATCTAAACAAAATTCATCTTCTTTTGGACACCTAGAGTTAAGAACAGAACTTCAGGCAGCTAATGATCAATACATTTCTATAGTCATGTTAGAAGCAGAATAGTCTGAGGTTAAATCTGTAGACTGCAAACTCACCTCTTGACTGCCACCTACGAGCCATGATATCTTAGCCAAGTGCTTTCTTCTACGTCTTAGTTTCCCATATCTTAGATGGGGATATTGGTTTTTATCTCACGGAATTAAAATGGGTTAAATGAGATTATATGTGAATAGACCCTGACACTATAAAATACTAGCACTGTATGATTGTTTAGCTGCCTTCCAATTTATTGAGAATTGGGCTACTGTAAGTTATGGCTTGGAAGTACTGCTATTAGACACAGCTTTTGTTTTCCCAAGCTATGTCATCTTGCTTTATAACATTTACATAATGCCATGAACTATGTGTAATCCATACCCTATTCTTCTTTCACATCTTTCGGGTGTCTGATGTATGTCTCCAAATAATATTTTCATGAAGAATACATGAATGCTCTATTTCCTGAGCCTTTGAATATATGGGATTGTTCATTTGTTGTCTTCACATATGAGAAAAAAAATTCAGCTGAGAAAATTCTTAGGTCATAGTCTTTTTCTTCAAAAAATTTTAAGTATTTTTTCTGTTGTCTTCTGGCATTTCTTACTGGAGAGCTATCTGAGAACAGCTAGATTTTTGTTTCCTCATAAATTACTTGCTTTATGACAGAATACTAATAGATGTGATTTTTTTCTTTATACTTGCATTCCCAAACCTTTGCCAGGGTATTTCTAGAATAGCCCTCTTTTCATTACTATCATCTAGAATGGTGAGTCCTTTCAATTTGAATAGTCAGGTCTTGTTTTTTAAAGTGATATCTTTAATTATTGTTGTTCTAATTCTTCTAGTACCTTCCTCAGAAATGTATAATTCTTAAATAAATCTATCCAGTCCTCTATATTCTTCTTCTTTTTTTTTTTTTTTTTTTGAGATGTAGTCTCACTCTGTTGCCCAGGCTGGAGTGCAGCGGTGTAAGCTTGGCTCACTACAACCTCCACCTCCCAGGTTCAAGCGATCCTCCTGCCTCAGCCTCCTGAGTAGCTGAGACTACAGGTGCACACCACCACGCCCGGCTGATTTTTGTATTTTCAGTAGAGACAGGGTTTCACCATGTTGGCCAGGATGGTCCCTATCTCCTGACCTCGTGATCCGCCCATCTTGGCCTCCCGAAGTGCTGGGATTACAGACGTGAGCCACCATGCCCAGCCCCAGTCCTCTATATCATTCACTTGAATCCTTTTTTCTTTTACCACATACCTGAAAAGATCTTAAGTTTGTCTTTCATGTCATTGACTCTGGTGTCTGTCATAGTAATGCTACAGGAGTCTACATTCCTACTCCCGATGTAGATTTTACTTCTGTCATTACATTTTTAATGTCGCTGAATTTTTAAAAGTAATCTTCTCCCTTTTATCTCATTCTAAAGTCTTTTCACCTTTAGAATGCCAAGCAGTTTTCTTAAAATATTTTTTACATTCTAGGAGCAAATAATTTTTATAGTGATTTTCTTTCTCTGAGTCTTTGAAGCATTGATCCCATTCCTCTGCCCCTCAGGAGTTTTTCATAGGATATATATTGATGATTTTTCTGGCAATCATCTCAAATGGAAGGGTAATTTCCAGACTTAGTGTTAGCCAAAAGATCAGTTGTGTTGTTTTCTATCTTATTATTCTCTTCTTTGGGGCTCTAGGTTTTACAACTGGATGGCATAGCAAAGTTTAGTACCTAACTCAATAGCATGATAAGCAGATTTGCATTTACTATGACTCTTTTGGACAGAGACAATATTGTCACCTGTTCCCTCTGTCTGGCGTTCTCACACTATCACCATGAAATACCATCATAAAAGCCATCGGTTACAGCATCCACTGCATCTGAAGTTCTTCCATCTCTACCAAACTGTAGTGCTTTATTTGTAAGGATGACCCCTCCCAAGATTCACTGCACATTGCCAGTTTACTCTATCCTCATAAGCATCCAGCCAGAGGATTAAGATAACACATTCTCTGGAGGTGGAAGCCTCTGATTGTACAGAGAAAGATGCACTTTGGTAAAAATCACCCAACAACAGATGGCTGGCTGCCCAACTGATATGGTTGGGCTCTGTCCCCACCCAAATCTCATTTTGAATTGTAGCTCCCATAATTCCCACATGTTGTGGGAGGTACCTAGTGGGAGATAATTGAATCATTGAGGTGGTTTCCCCCATACCGTTCTCCTTCTGATTGTGAGGTCTCCCCAGCCGTGTGGAACTGTGAGTCCATTAAACCTCTTTTTCTTTATAAATTACCCAGTCTCGAGTTTGTCTTTATTAGCAGTGTGAAAATGGACTAATACAGTAAGTTTGTACTGGTACAGTGTAGTGCTGCTGTAAAAATACCTGAAAATGTGGAAGAGACTTTGGAACTTGGCAACAGACAGAGGTTGGAACAGTTTGGAGGACTCGGAAGACAGGAAAATGTGGGGAAATTTGGAACTTCCTAAAGACTTGTTGAACGGCTTTGACAAAAATGCTGATAATGATATGGACAATGAAATCCAGGCTGAGGTGGTCTCAGATGGAGATGAGAAACTTGTTGGGAACTGAAGTGAAGGTGACTCTTCCTATGTTTTAGCAAAGAGACTGATGGCATTTTGCCCCTGCCCTGGAGATTTGTGGAACTTTGAACTTGAGGAAGATGATCTAGGGTATCTGGTAGAAGAAATATCTAAGCAGCAAAGCATTCAAGAGGTGACTTGGGTGACGTTGAAAGCATTCAGTTTTAAAAAGGAAGCAGAGCATGAAAGTTTGGAAAATTTACAGCCTGATGATGCAATAGAAAGGAAAAACCCATTTTCTGGGGAGAAACTCAAGCCTGCTGCAGAAATTTGCATAAGTAATGAGGAACCAAATGTTAATCTCCAAGACAATGGGGAAAATGTCTCCAGGCCATGTCAGAGAACTTTGCAGCAGCCTTTCCCATCACAGGCCCAGAGGCCTAGGAGGAAAAATGGTTTGTGGGTCAGGCCCAGGACCCCCTGCTGTGTCTAGCCTAGGGACTTGGTGTCTTGTGTTCTAGCTGCTCCAGCCATGGCTAGAAGGGGCCAAGGTACAGCTTGGGCTATGGCTTCAGAGGGTGCAAGCCCCAAGCTTTGGCAGCTACCATGTGGTGTTGTGCCTGCTTGTGCACAGAAGTCAAGAATTGAGGTTTGGGAACCTCTGCCTAGATTTCAGAGATGCATGAAAACATCTGGATGTCCAGGCAGAAGTTTGCTGCAGGGGCAGGGCCCTCATGGAGAACACCTGCTAGGGCAGTGCAGAAGGGAAATGTGGGGTTGACGCCACCACACAGAGTCCCCACGGGGGCACTGCGCAGTGGAACTGTGAGAAAAGGGCCACCATCCTGCAGACCCCAGAATTGTAGATCCACCAACAACTTGTGCCATGTGCCTGAGAAAGCCACAGACAATGCCAGCCTGTGAAAGCAGCCAAGAGAGAGGCTGTACCCTGCAAAGCCACAGAGGTGGAGCTGCCTTAGACCATGGGAACCCACCTCTTGCACCAGTGTGACCTGCATGTGAAACATGGAGTCAAAAAAGATCATTTGGGAGTTTTAAGATTTGACAGCCCCACTGGATTTTGGACTTGCATGGGGCCTTTAGCTCCTTTATTTGGTCAATTTCTCCCATTTGGAATGGGTATATTTATCCAATGCCAGTACCCCCATTGTATCTAGGAAGTAACTGACTTGCTTCTTGATTTTACAGGCTCATAGGTGGAAGGGACTTGCCTTGTCTCAGATGACACTTTAGACAGTGGACTTTTGAGTTAATGCTGAAATAAGACTTTGAGGGACTGTCGGGAAGGCATGACTGGTTTTGAAATGTGAGGACATGAGATTTGGGAGGGGCCAGGAGTAGAATGATATGGTTTGGCTGTGTCCTCTCCCAAATCTCATTTTGAATTATAGCTCCCATAATTCCCATGTGTTATGGGAGGGACCCAGTAGGAGATAATTGAATCAAGGGGGTGGTTTCCCCCATACAGTTCTTGTGGTGGTGAAAAAGTCTCATGAGATCTGATGGTTTTATAAGGGGAAACCCCTTTCACTTGGCTCTCATTCTCTCTTGTCTGCCACCATGTAAGACATGCCTTTTACCTTCCACCATGATTGAGAGGCCTCCCTAGCCACATGGAACTGTGAGTCCATTAAACCTCTTTTTCTTTATAAATTACCCAGTCTCAAGTATGTCTTTATCAGCAGCATGAAAATGGACTAATACTCCATCTCTCTCATGAGAGTAGGTGTTATGATTCTGAACCCATTGTAGATTGTAATGGAGGGACAAGAGGTCTTCCCATCATTTCACAACATTTTCTTTTCAGAGTGGACACAAAGTATGATTTTTAATCAACTTATCTCCTGTCAATTTATCCTACACTGTCTGTCCCCTGACAAGCTCTGACATCTCTTCTTACCACTTCTTTTCATCCACTTACTCTTCTCTAAGCACATCGTCTTCCTTACCATTTCTGGAATCTGCCAAGCCTGTTTCTGTCTCAGGGCCTTTGCACGTGTTGTTCTCGCTGCTTTGAATGCTCTTCTTCCAGATATCACCAGAACTCCCACTGTCATTTCATTCAGGGATCTGCTCAGATGTCACCCTCCTCCAAGAGGCCCTCTCTGACCACTCAATTCACAATTTGTGTCTATCATTTTCTACTCCTTTCCTTTGCTTTGTTTTTCTTCATCTACATATACAAACTGACATTATATTTATTTTTTTTATCTTGATGGTGGTCTCTGTTCTCCCACTAGAATAGAAGGTCCATGAAGACAAGAACTTTATCTGTTTTGTTCACCACTATATTCCCTGGGCCTAGAACAGCCTAGCACATGAGGGGTACTTTTTAATAAACATGCTGAACAAATGAATAGACAAAAGAAGGAATTATTAGAAAATTCTCTCAACTAAGTTGCACTGGTCCTAATTTCTAATGTTGTAAATTTCCTCTTTTTCTGTGTCTTCATAGACATTTTGGAGGAAAAACAGAGAACCCATATGAGGAAGTACTTTTTATTTTAAAGCTTCATTAGACATAAAGCAGTTTTCTAATTTATCATTTTTTTTTACCAATTTTATCAAGTAGTATTGAGTTTGGCTGAGTGACAGAAACCAAAATAACAATAGCTTAAACAAGATGCAAATGTATTCTCTTTCAATTTAAAGTACAGAAATAGGTAGCCCAGGATTGGAGTAGGTCAGGGGATGAGGCCATAGAAAGTTGTTTGGGATTAAAACTCCTCTCTTAACAGTTCTGCTATCCTCACATTGGACTTCCACTGTAGTATGAAAAAGGAAAGGGCTGATGGGGCATAGCTATGCCCTTTAAGGACTTTTACCATCAATTTTACAAGGCAGTTCCACTTACATCCCATTGGACAAAACTTAGTCACATGACCACATGTAGTTGCAAGGGAGACTGGGAAATGTAGCCTTTGTACCAGAGGACCACATGCTGAACTAAAAACTGAAGGTCCTATTTCTAAAGAAGGAGAGAATGGAACCTAGGGGATAGTAGCAGTCTCTGCCGCATCCATCTCACCCACAACCTCCACCGAACAAATTTCTTTCTCAGAGACCAGTTTCCCAGATATTTTACTCTTTCCCCATCAATCATCCTTAGTTGGCAAAGTTAAAAGTTCTCAGATTTAAAAACACTATGACAATAACCAGTTCCTACTGTTACCTTCTCTACTTCAAGTTGATAGTCTCCAGTTTTTCCCTTGTTGTGGCAAACAGCTGTTCTCTTCTAGGGAGCTACTTAGAAGACCACTGGCACCAGGACCACTGAGGCAGAAGCACGGTGAAGTGGAAGGCAGAGGCAGACCCAGAATGGAGAGACACACAGTGCACCAGAACGGTATGGCATCTTGACACAGTGGACTGCCCCTTACTTGGCTGCTCAGATCCTTTGAAGAAAATATTTCTTGAGTATATTTTGAAATATGACTTACTTTCCCCCCCCTCTTTTTTTTGAGATGGAGTATCTCTCTGTCACCCAGGCTGGAGTGCAATGGTGCGATCCTGGGTCACTACAACCTTCCCCTCTCGGGTTCAAGCCATTCTCCTGCCTCAGGCTCCCAAATAGCTGGGACTACAGGTGCCTGCCACCATGCCTGGCTAATTTTCGTATTTTTAGTAGAGATGGGGTTTCACCATTTTGGCCAGGCTGGTCTCAAACTCCTGACCTCAGGTGATCCACACACCTCGGCCTCCCAAAGTGCTGGGATTATAGGCGTGAGCCACCGCACCTGGCCTTCCCAATATTTTTCATTGTGGTAAATACACATAAGATGAAATCTACTATCTTAACCATTTTAAAGTGTACAATTCAGTAGCATTAAACACATTCATAATGTCATGCAACCATCACCAACGTCCAACTCCATAACTCTTCATCTTGTAAAACTTAAATTCTATATCCATTAAACACTAACTCTCCATTGACCCATCCCCTAACCCCCTACAACCACCATTCTACTTTGTCTCTGTGGTTTTGAATACTCAAAATACCTCATATAAGTGTAATCATACAGCATTTGTCTTCTTGTGACTAGTTTATTTAACTTAGCATAATACTCTCAAGATTCATCCACATTGTAGCATAGGTCAGAATCTCCTTCCTTTTTAAGACTGAGTTATATTCCATTGTATGGATATACCACATTTTGCTTATCCATTCATCTGTCAGTGGACACTTCGGTTACTTCCATGTTTTTGCTATTGAGAATAATGCTGCTAGAACATGAATATACAAATGTTTCATAAATCCTTACTTTCTATTCTTTTGAGCATATACCTAAAAGTGGAATTGCTGGATCATACACTAATTCTATTTTTTTTTTCAAGAACTGCCATACTGTTTTCCACAGTGGCTGTAACATTTGACATTCCCACCAACAGTGCACAAGCATTCTAATTTCTCCACACCCTTGTCAGCACTTGTTATTTTCTTTTTAAAAAAAATAGTAGCCATCCTATGGGTGTGAGGTGGTATCTTGTAGTTTTGATTTGCATTTCACTAATAATTAGTGATGTTGGGCACCTTTTCATGTGCTTATTGCCATTTGCATATCTTCTTTGGAGAAGTGTTTATTAAGTATTTTGCCCATTTTAAATTGTTTTTTGTTGAATTGTAAGATTTCTCTACATATTCTGGATATTAATCGCTTATCAGGTATATGGTTGGTGAATATTTTCTCCCATTTTGTGGGTTATCATTTTCCTCTGTTGATAGTGTCTTTTGATGCACAAAATTTTTAAATCATTATGCAATCCAATTTATTGACTTTTGTGCCCTGTTCCTTTGGTGTCATATCCAAGAAATCATTGCCAACTCTAATATCTTCAAGACTTGACCTATGTTTTCTTCTAAGAATTGTATCATTTTAGGTCTTAAAAAGTCTTTGGTCCATTTTGAGTTAATTTTTGTATACTGTGTTAGGTAAGGGTCCAACTTGATTCTTCTGCATGTAGATATTCAGTTTTCCTAGTACTATTTGCTTAAAATACTACCCTTTTCCATTGAAAAGTCTTGTCACCCTTGTCAAGAATCATTTGAGTTGCCTTTGAATTTAAAATTTCATTGGCTTGTTGTCTAAAAGGATTATAGTATAAAAACAAGATCCTTCTCTAAATGAGGTAGATAATGTTAGCTATAAGGTAAAAATCCTCACTTTTTTGTTTCTCTCCAAAACTTTTCTACTGAGTTCAGTTTTATTCCTCTCGCTAATCAATGAACTTAAAAACATATAAAAATATCTAATATGCCTATTTTTATAATGCTTTATAACTGCATAGTTCTTTCAAGTTTTGGAAGATATTCACATTTAGTATTTTATGAAAAATGTTAGTTTAAACAATAGGGCAAGGCACCAGTAATCCCAGCATTTTGTGAGGCTGAGGCAGGAGGATCCCTTAAGGCCAAGAGTTCGAGGCTGCAGTGAACTATGATCAGACCACTGCACTCAATTGATATATATGCACTATTTTTCAGTCCCATATTTTGGTGTGTTTTCAAAGTTTGGCAAAATATCTTTTTTTCCCAGAAAAGTGGTTGCTGGCCCTTTGCTATATCTGAAGATTATAGGTAGATATTGAGAAGAGGGTCAAGAAAAGTAAGCAGGCTTCCCTAGGGCGAAAATAAGTTTGTATTTTCTGTTACTCATGTCACATTACTAGGCAATATTTACTTACCACTTATCCTGTAACAAGGAAACAAAGATGAAGTTTATATAAAAAATTACAGTATTGCATTATAAGTCATTTCACATCTTTTTGAGTAGATTTCTTTTATAGAACTATAGGAATAAATGAACTTTTCATTTTTTTTGAAGCAAAGTAGTTAGAGGGAAGCCAATGGAAATGGACTGATAATTGGCAGTAATTCTTTCCAAGTGGAGAAAGGACCTAGAATATGCTGACTTGCGTCATAGCTGATGCAAAGATAGAATCTACTCCAAGAGCTATTTAATTTTCATCATAAAACCTAACCACCCCCAGGCACCTTGGAACATACACACCTGGTTTCTCTCTCCCCCATATGGTTCTTTCACTAATTAATGCTCTCAACCTATCTCCTCCTGTTAGAATCTTACCCATCATTTAAGGTGAACTCAGTCGTAAAAATTTTTCATGTAATATTTCACTATTTCTAATCCCACCTGCTCCACAATAATATGTGCTTTCTCTCCCTCTTTGAGCCCCCTTAGCATATATTTCATAGTCTTCACAGTAGTATTGTATTACAGTTGTTTGAATCAAAACTTTTAATATGGGAGTATCTCATGGATCCCATGAGGCCAAAAGCAGGACTGGAAAGCCACTCTGCATGCCTCTTTCTCTCCAGATGTGTTTTCTCTGCATTGCCACTGGTGCCTGGTCAGAAATATCCAAGCCAGTGCTTCTACGCCCTTAAATCAGTGGACAGCAGAGACTGATTAGCACCTTTGAATTCTAATTTTAAATCTTTGGAGAGGAAATCCAATTGGTTTTCCTTAGGTCACGTATCTCTTGACCTCTAATTTAATCAGCTGCAGTTAGAAGGGCAGGGTTCCTGTTTGTGGCTTCCCAGATTCACCTTGTGGGTGGGAAAAGGGGACTGGGTCTCCATGTAGGCAGGTGGCTAGACATGTGTAGCTGGCTAGACATTCTGAAGCTCTCTCCTCTATTAATCACTTGTGTCATTTTATTATCTCCTGTGAGACACTGTAAGCTCCTTGGGAAAAGGGACTGTTGCTTGCTCATCTTTGTAAAGCCCCAGAGCCCTGTACTGTTTATTGCATAAAGAAAATGCTAAACCTGCAATTGTATTGATACTATTTCACAATGCCTTTTGGCATCAAGAATTTCCCCCAAAATTTCTAAAACTGTAATTTGAAAATCTGAGCATGATCTTATTGGGCCCTGAATCTAGGCTTACTCATACACTTTCTTATCAGGAAAAAAAAAAAAGCCTATTTTCTCTCTCTTTGAGAGGAAAAGTAAAGGAATATATACTCCTAACATAATTCCCTACTGTCTGTTTACTTCTTGCCTTGAAATCACAGTCACAGTTGCTAGAGGGCTCTGAGAATATCCTGTTGAAATGGAAAAGAAAGAGAAGACTATAAGAATTCCTCTACAGGGTACTTTCTTAATGTCCTTCCACCTAGAAACCCTGAATAAATTGGGAATATAGAGTGAGTAACAACAGATGGTGTCATCACAGTGCTTGAGTTGGGAAAGATGCCAATCAATCAAGACTTAGCATCCCTACCCCTCACATCTATCTTTATTTATTTATTTTTCTTATCTGGGTCTCACTCTAATCTCTTCAGTAGAATCAATTCCAAGTTGGAGCACCAAGAACTTTTATTCAGTTACAGAATCAACTCACTCAGTAAACTTAGCAGAAGTTTTATCTGATGCCCTGGAGTGCTTCCTGTTAGATAATGAGGGCTGAGAAATTCCTCCTGTTCCTCCTTTTAGCAGAACTGCCAAGGTGTTTAGTAAGGGCCAACCTTTGTACAGTCACGGCCTATATCCTTAGCCTAGATTTCCACCACAGGTGTTTCCTTTCTTTTACTACTTGATATTTTTTACTTTTCCCAAATTTCAACTTTTTTGCATATGTATATTTTATTGCAACAAGCTCAAATCCTCTTTTGGATATAGAAAGTATGAATGAAGAAAGAAAAATACCTAGGAAAATGTATGGATTGTATATACTCCACTAAAATGGCATTAAAGGAATAAAAAAGGTGTTTAGCTTATAGGGACAAAGAGAAGGAGACAAGGGGTGACTGCAGATAAATACAATTTATCGACTGTATTCAATACAATTTTGGAAGAATGAATGCAGACAAACAAGTGGAAATTAACTTCAATTTTAGCCTTCTTCATTTGTTAAATACCATAAAAGATGAAAGGCAACAAGAACAAAACAATCTGTGCTATAGTGCTCCCTGATATGGTTTGGCTGAGTCCCCACCCAAATCTCATCTTGAATTGTAGCTCTGATAATTCCCACATGTTGTGGGAGGGACCTGGTGAGAGATAATTGAATCATAGGGACAGTTCCCCCATACTGTTCTCATGTTAGTGAATAAGTCTCAAGAAATCTGATGGTTTTATAAGGGGAAACCCCTTTTGCTTGATTCTCTCTCTCTCTTTCTCTCTCTCTCTCTTTCTCTCTCATTCTCCCTGGGGCCATGTAAGACCTGCCTTTCACCTTCCACCATGATTGTGAGGCCTCCCCAGCCACGTGGAACTGTGAGCCCATTAAGTCTCTTTTTCTGTATGAATTACCCAGTCTAGGGTATGTCTTTATCAGCAGCGTGAAAACGGACTAATACATCCCCTAAGAAATATCCAAAATCAGATATGCTGTATACCTCTAAAGGCAGAGATATGAGGTAGAATGAAAAACCCAAGGACTCATATACGGAGTTCTTAGAGACCACATCCTTTCCCCTCTCCTAGACTGGGCAGCCAGGTAACTGCTCCTCCCTTCTTCTTGACAGAAAACTAAAGATACCCTTTCTGGAGAGGTTAAACTAAACAAAAACCAAAAAACTCTGGCTTAAGGGCACTAGTCACAGCTAAGGGCTAGAGCAAGGCATTTTACTGGAAAATAAAAATCAGAGAAGTTCGCCTAATGAAGAGTGAGACAACACTCCACCATCCCTGACCCATCCACCCTTTCCCCTACCAGGCTCCCAGAATGCTAAATACCAGACTTACACTATTTTAGGCAGGATTGGAGAGAATTCCTTTCTAGAAAAACCAAGCAGCCCAAAAGAATAGACAAAAAACAAAACAAAACAAAAACTGGCATTTAGAGGCTATAAAAAGACAGGGCTCCCACCTGGTTATCCTAAAGTGAGACCCTCTAATCTGTATGTCCCCCCTCCGCATAAGTTTCTGATTAGCTCATGGTGCCTCTCCCCTTCACATGAACTGGTCAGTTAGGGATCACTAGCCACTTGGAAAAAACCTTTCACATAGGAGACAGAGTCCAAAATAAACTGTAAAAGAAACATTGAGAAAACAGTAAATGCAGAGGCAAAAGAAAACATTTTAAAACTAGTTACCATTTTCTAAAAAAGGAGGACAATTTTGCTTTCATTAAATGTGAAGAGTTTCCTATTAAAATGTCACATATAAAGAATAAGAAGGAGCTCTTGGAAACTAAAAAATATAGGAGCAGAATTAGTGGAAGGGTTAGGAGATAAAATTAAGGAAAGCTTCTATAAAGTGGAACAAAAATACCCAGAGATGAAAAATAAAAGTGGAAAGAAAAGAAAATTAGAGGTTTAATGCTGGAGGTTGAAAACATGACTCTAGGAATTCTAGAGAAAGAGTGGAGGGAAGGCAATTATCAAAGGAAAATTCAGGAAAATTTCCAAAAATCTTAAGAACATATTCTTCATACTGAAATTGCTCACCAAGTGTGTAGTGAATTTAACAATTCACTTCTGTTGTGAAATGTCAGAAACACAGAGACAATCCTAAAAGCTTCCATAGAGAGGGAAAAAAAAATAGGTCATATACAAAGATCAGAAATCAGAATGGCATCAGACTTCTCAACAGCAACATCGAAAGCTAGAGGAAAATAAAAATGCCTTCAAAGTTTTTTATGAAAAATTATTTCCAACCTAAAATTCTCTACCCAAACTATTTACTATGAGTGGAGAATAAAGATATTTTCAAATATGCAAGGTCTCAAAAATAGTATTTCCTTACACATCATTTCTCATGAAGCTTCTGGAAGATGTGCTCTATGAAAACGGGAAAAATGCAGAAAAAAAAAAGACATGAGATTCAGGAAACGGATGATTGAGGCAGAATTAGTGAGCAGCTAGTCCCAATTGGAGCAGGTTGTCAGAAGCTCTACCTGAAATCTTCTCTAAGAAAAAGCAATGGAACATGTAGGTTGCCTTATGGGTCTGCCCTCTATAAGAAAGGAGTTTTAGAAGCTCTTTCCAAAAGTGCAGTGATGAAGCGATAGAAGGTACATGGAAAACTTAACAAGGTATTTCCAGCTGAACACGTTAGGTTGTACAGCCACCACTGAAGTCAGACAATACCAATGTTGGCACAAACGTGGAGCACTGGGAACTTGCATAGACTGCTGGTACAAGCACTGTGGAAAACAACGGATAATATCTAGAAGGATGAAGATGTTTATGCACTGTGCCACAGAATTTCCACTTCTTGTGGCATACCAAATGAAACGTGTGTATATGTGCACAAATAGTGTGTACAAGAATATTCATAGCATTAAGATTTACTCCAAACTAGAAACAACTCAGAAGTACATCCACAGTAACATGGATAGACTGTGGTATCCGTGTATAACCAAAGTGGATATATGTAATGATGATGTGGTTGAATTTTACAGAGCTGAGTAAAAGAAACCAAACACAAAAGAATATGCACCATATGTCTCTATTTACATAAAATTCAAAAGCAGGCAAAGCTAAACTCAGTTGTTTCACAATGGATACATAGGTGGTAAAACTGTAAAGGAAAAGAAGGAAGCAGTAATCATAAAAGGTAGGATGGTGTCACATCTAAAGGGAGAGAACTAGTTGTAATCAGGTGGGGACATATGGGGGGCTTTAGGGAAGCTAGCAATGTTTATTTCTTGATTTGAGTGTTGGTTAATGATCATTCACTTTATAATATATATTAAACTGTATGCATATATTTGGTAATTTAAAAAGAAAACCACTTTTTAAACAGTGTGGCAGATTGAGCACATATTTTACCTTTTGTTCCCTTCCAAACTTCACAAAAATGACTCTAGTCATAAGGATAAAGAGAGTAAGAGACAAAAAACAAAACACTCATATAATTCTGGGATCCAAAAAGCAGGTGAATAAGAAGAGACTCACTTAGAAAAGCAGAGAAAGCTGAAATTCAAGACAGCAGCATGAGAAGGTCTTAGAAGCAGGCTTATTTGTATCTCAGAAGCCCCAAAAGGAGCAGGAATTGGATGTTGTGATAGCTCTTGAAGCAGGGCCTATGTTGGGATAGAGACTTAAAAAACAGAGTTGGTTGCAAATCTGTATGAAGGGACATTTCACCTATCCCCTTGCCTACCCTGTGCAGCTGGGCAACTGTCCCTCCCCTAGCCTAGCAGAAGACTGAAGTCTTACTCACAGAACTTAACAGGAGACTCCGGACAGGGAACACTGATGTAACTGTGAGGCGGCCTCTGTATTGAACACTGGGGAACTAAGGGAATGTCTACATACTCAGAAACAAAATCAAAAATGAAACACCCCCTGCAACCTTCCCCCATAATCTCCTTCCCAAACTCTTCCCCAAGAGCGTAAACCTCCACTTAATATGTTTTGAAAATCAGGCAATCAATGTGGACTGATTGTTATCTAGACCTGGTGCACAGTGGTTGTCTTGGGATCTCAGTTTAAAATATGGTGGGAATTATTCTGGCCTGTATCCTACTGATTCTTTATTGCCTGAATCTCATGTTTCTTCTTTGGATACTCCCTTGTCTTGGCCGTGCATATCATCCAGTAGCGTCCTGAGAAAGCATGCACAGGAGATCATTATTTTGAGAATGAGCATATGTGAAAAAACCTTTATTCTCCCCCTAGTACTTTATGGCCTGTTAAGCGGAGGTGTGTCAACCATTGGGCTTTTCTATGGGGTGTTCTGGCTGAGTTCATTAGGCAACCTCCAAATGTTAATATTAATATTATCATGGTATTCTTCTTTCTCCACTTCTTCCTCCTCCCTTCTCCCTTTCCTTTCCTTCTCCCTCTCCTCTCCTTTCCCCTCCTCCCCAGCACCCCTCCTCATCATTCTCCTCCTCCTATTTTCCCTCCCCTCCTCCTTCTCATTGCTTAGTCCATTGTCTAGAGCAAGAACCCTCCCAGCATAGTGACTCATGCCTATAATCCCAGCACATTGGGAGGCCAAGGTGGGAAAATCACTTGAGGCCAGGAGTTAGAGACCAGCCTGGGCCACATGGCAAGACCCCATCTCTACAAAAAATAAAATAAATACCCATGTGGTGGCATGTACCTATAATCCCAGCTACTTGGGAGGCTTAGGTGGGAAGATTGCTTGAGCCCCAGGAGATAGAAGTTGCCGTGAACCGTGATTGCCACTGTATTCCAGCCTGGGTGACAGAGCGAGACCTTGTCTAAAAAAAAAAAAAAAAAAAAAAGCAAGAACTCTGTGATTCACTTACCCCTGAATCTCTGTGGCCTAGTACCATACCTGACACCCAATAAATATTTAAACTGAATTCAAATTAACAACTTCACGTTGAAGTTAGATGAGCTCTCTTCCTCTACTTTGTGAGCTATATGTGAAGGGGTTGAAAATGCAAGAGTAGATAAAAAGAGAAATCTTCCACTTGAAGAAGTTGTATGCAACAATTAAACTGAGCATCATGACATCTGGCAGCATCCTCCCTTTGCTGGACTTCTCAGCAGCATTTCACAGAGTGGATCATTCCCTCCTAGAAATTTTTTACCTTCCAGCACACTCTCCTGGTTTCCTCCAGCCTTACAGGTCACTCCTTCCCAATCTCTTTTGCTGGAGCTCCTCCTATTTCTGGACTGTGAATGCTGGAGTGACCAGGACTTAGTCTTCCTCAGTACTTTCATCCTGTCCCGCAGCTTTAACTTCTGTTTATGAGCTGAACATTCCATATAGCTCAGCTATCTCCAGTTCTGGCTCCTTTCCTAAACTCCAGATTCTTCACACCCTATGGCCACACAACATTTCCACTTAGAGGTCTAACAGGCATCCCAAACTTAGCATGGCCAAAAACCCAGGCCTTCGCTATCCACTCCCCCAAACCTGCTCTGCCTCAGGTATTCCTGTCTTGGTCGATAGCAACATCACCCACTCAACTGCTCGGACCAAAACCTTGTGACCATGGAATGCAGTGTTTGCAGTGATTGTGAATCTCAACTCTGCAGCCAGAACGTCTGGGGTCTAAAATCAGCTCCAGCATTTCCCGTGTGCATTGCCCTTCCTGTCTGTGCCTCAGTTTCTCATCAGAAAATGGAAATGATAATAGTGCCTACCCTATGGGATTGCTGTAAGGGTGATGTGGGTGAAAGTAGATTAAAGCATATAGAATCTGGCATAGGGAAGGTATTAGAAAGGCATTTGATATTATTTTTATTGTTATGAATATATGTAAAACATAGGAACAAGGCCTGACATAGAGTATGCACTAAGATTGATTCCTCTTTTTCCCTGATGTATCATATTCAATTCAAAGGGAATCCGGTTGGTTTTATATTCAAACTACAGATAAACTATAACTATTTCTCTCTGTCTGCACCATTGTAACCCTGACCCATGCTTTTACCTCCTCTTTCAGTTGAACCCCACAATAGTCACCTAACTTATCTCCCTCACCCACAGTCTCCTTCTCACATGTGAGTCTGATTGTGTCACTCCTTGCTCAGAAGTTTCCACTGGCTTCCAAAGTACTCAGGTCTTCAGTGTGGCTAGCAAGGTGCTCTCTAATCTAGCACCTAGCTACCTGGCCAGCATTAGCTTCTACCACCTAGCCCTCCCTCAGTGGGCTCCCTCACACCAGACTCCTTGTCATTCCCCCATCTCCACCTAACATCATTCCCTGTCCTCCCCATCCTATCTGTCCTACCACATATCACACCCTGCTATTACGCTAGTCAATGCTGCCCTGGATAGAACTGTGATAGGGGGTGGGAGGTGTCATAAGACAGAGACTTAATCAGTTTATTTAGTTCCTCAACTTTAGCTTATGAGGCATTCTTCACATTGAAGGAATGTGATTCAGATTTGGGGGCTGTGGGAAGCTACTGAGCAGATTCAGCATAAGTTACCACATGTCAGCTCTGCAGTCTTAAAAATTATACAAGTTGCTTTAAGTTTCTCCTTTAAAGTACTCATGGAAGTCATCATCTTCTCCATCATTTTCATCAATGTCCTTAGTCTTTATTGATTATTTTGCTGGGGGTGGTATGATCTTACTCATTTGTTAAGTAAGTCAAAAAATCTTATTTTTGACTAGACTCAGAAGTAGAAGCTTACAGAGGGGACAACCTGTGTCTCTGGTAATCTGCTCCTGGAGTTTTTCTTTAGTCTCCTTCATTCTCTTGGCCAAAAGTTTAACATATTTTGTGGCTCTTTCTTATTTTTCTTAGTATGCTGTTTCTTCTGAGCAATACCAGTGTTTGTATTGCAGGACATGTAGAGTAACAAGATGCTGAATCTTGGGTGCTTTGGTCCTCAGTATCTTACTCTCTTTGTTTAAGGGCTTTCTGGCAACATATGGGTGGGGGGCATTGTCTTCTTTAGAGAGACTGAAAAGTTTGCATTTCTGTTAGCTCTTTTGGGCCCCCAGCAACATGACACCATAGTATCAGTCAGTCCAGGAGTATCCTTCCCTCCTTTTTTTTTTTTTTTTTAAGATAACCAACTGGAGAATGCTCAGATTGGCATGCACAATGAAACCCCAAACAGATTCGCACTTTCTTTCTCCAGTTCTCCTTGGTCTATAACAGGAATGCCCCTACTCAGTAGCAGTAGGCAGACCCAGCCATGGGTCAGGACACACTGCTTCATGAGGAAACCTTGTTCGTTGGTCCCACCACTGACTCGGACCACATAACTCTTCCAGAGCGTCGGCAGCAACCTCTGTGCCATATGCTTCTCATAAGTACAAAATTGCCATTCGTTGTCCAATCCAATGAGTGTCTGTCAGCCAGTGGCTGGGGAGGAGATATTTAGCTTCATCCTGAAGCAGCTAATTGCCTCCAAGGTGCCACAAAAAAGAGCTCATGTTTTTGTTTTTGTTTTTTCATTAAACATTTAATTACATAAACGCAGAGAATCATATGGTTGCTTTGATGCTTTATGAGCACAGACATCAGTCCTATGATAACCATTTACCTTTGAGATAATTGTACCTGTTTTAATGGGATTGATGTTATTTTAACATAAATAGGTGTTAATTTGGGGGCTTAAGAGAAAAGAGTGTCTTTTCTGTCAAAATGAATGTTAGGTACATTTTCAGCCTATGAGAATTCACCCACGAGGACCTTTATTTAGGAACAAATTATCTTCATCATGGTGGAATGTTGTACATTACTTGGTTATGTACGTATTCTATGTTGACCCCTCCAGAATCTTCATTATGTGAGGACAGCAACATTGTTTTATTTAGAATAGTGCCTGGTGAATGTAAACATTTAATAAATAAATTATAAATAAACATTAAACATTTACTTAAATTGTAGGTTAAAAAAACACTTCGTTTTGGTCAGGAGTTTGAGACCGGTCTGAGCAATATGGTGAAATCTCGTCTCTGCTAAAAATACAAAAATTAGCCAGGCATGGTGGTAGGCACCTGTAGTCCCGACTACTCGGGAGGCTGAGACAGGAGAATTGCTTGAACCCGTTGAACCTGAGAGTCCGAGGTTGCAGTAAGCCAAAATCACGCCACCGCACTCCAGCCTGGGCAACAGAGCGAGACTCTGTCTCAAAAACAAACAAACAAACAAACAAAAAAAACAGAAACACATATGGTTAATGGCTATGATTATGTTAAATGTATGAAAATAATGTTGGAAGGAAACATACAAGAATGATAATAGTTATCAGAAGGTTATGATTATAGGTGATTTTTAACCAAAATTTTAAATTTTATTGAAACATTACATTGTTCTTTTTTTTTAAAAAAAAAAAAAGTAATGTCACAAATGAAAGCACATGGAATTGGCAGTCCAAGTCCCGGATTCCAGTACTTACTGTGTGGAGTGGCATTAGGTAAGTCTCTTGAGCACTCTTGCTGTGCTTCTGTTTCCTCTTCAGTAAATGGAAGGTCATAGGACTTTGCAGTTCCATAATTCTGATTCTCACTTCTGCCAACATTAGCCACTCCAAATCCTTCCCTCTGTAGTTTCTATTCTTCACTCAAGGCCAGAGGAATGAAATGTTCTAAAATATTAAGAGGCCAATTTAGAAAGGCGGAACTGGGTCGGGCACGGTGGCTCACGCTGGTAATCCCAGCACTTTGAAAGGCTGAAGTGGGCTGATCCCTTGAGATCAGCAGTTCGAGACCACCCTGACCAACATGGTTGAAACCCCGTCTCTACCAAAAAATACAAAAATTAGCCAGATGTGGTGATGCATACCTGTAGTCCCAACTACTCGGGAGGTTGAGACACGAAAATTGCTTGAATGGGGAGGCGGAGGTTGCAGTGAGCAGAGATTGTGCCACTGTACTCCAGCCTGGGTGACAGAGTGAGACCCTGTCTCAAAAACAAAGGAAGGCATAACTGTTTTCATTACTAATTGTCTTTATGATAATTGTTTTCTTTAAAGCAATATTTATTTTGTTGTACTTGCAATGACTGGCAGTGGCAAAGTAACATGCTTTCCTGATTCCATTAGCTCTGGTTCCAGGAACACATCAGGAAACCCCGAGCCTGGCTGGCCGGAGGAAGAAGCACAGCACATTTCATGAATTAGGCTCCTGCCCTTCTGGTTTGGGTGGGGTGATGGCTGGCCCTGGGCTGGTACTGACTTTGCTTTGTTTTCATTACGCATGATTTGTTGCCCTGGAAATACGAGAGAATCTCAGACAGAGTAAGTTTCCTTCCTCTGCCCATCTGCTGGGGGAATCTACAGTGCTATGAGGCCAACCTTGAAAACTTTGTGTGTTACAGCCTGAATTTACTTTACATACAGTCATTTCAGGGGCATGTGTGATCACTCTGTGCTTCATAAGATTAATGAGTCAGGCAGGATGGTACTTGGAGAATTCCCGTGTGGTGAGTGAGTTCACACAGCAGTGACTTGGGATCCAGTGGACTCTCTGTTTCAAAATCTCTACTCATAGAAACAATTTCTTTAGTTCATCCACACCTCTTCTTGTAACACATACAAGTCCTAATTTCATGACAGAGTTGAGGCACCACATCTCTGTGCCAATGTAGTAACTATTTCCCTAAAGTCTTTCAAATGAATGTATGAGTGTCACTTTATCATGCTGACTAGGATTGTAGAGTATGTCAACCTGATTCTGTAAAATTGGAAAATTATCCAGCTTTTGAACACAGGATGAGTTTCTTAAGACAATGTGGAGGCATGTGATTAGAAGAATTATTTTTAGGATTGAATAAGCTAACACATGTAAAGTGCTTTAAGCAGATCCTGGCATATAGTAAGTGCCCAATAAAAATTAGCTTCTGTTGTTGTTGCATTTGTTGCTATTGTGAGAAACAAACTCACCATCCAAGCCCAAAGAATGGACTCAGAGACCCAGAGAACAGTAAAAGTGAGATTTTTCGTGATGGTCTTGCAAGATTGGCTGTCCGGTGGGCAGGCACACCCAGCACAGTTACAAAAAGCAATTTATTCCCTAATGCACAGGTCCCTTCCCCCGGTTCCTCACAGGCTGAGTACTATGGGGTCACAGTCTTCCTGGACATTGCCTATCGGTTGTTGGGTAGTGGCTTTAGGTGTTTTCTTTAGGGTTGTCCTGCTGCATTTTGTTGCAGCCCACAATACATTGCAATCCTAGTTAGCTTAGGGACTCAAGTATTTGACTTATGACCTAAGTAGCTGGGTAGGCTAATAAGAACAGAAAAAACGAGCTATTTTGCAGGCTAGTAAGCTTTCATTTCAGACTAAACTTCTTTGGTTTGGGTGAGGGCAACTAAGGGGAAGTGGTGACAAGCAGGCATTGGCTATCCAAGCAGGGGCCTAGTATATCCTATTTCTTCTGTGGTTTGCTGACCTAAACCGATTCAAGGCACTTTGTCTTGGAAACGGACCACAGCATACATTATTTCCTTCACTATTATTATATTCAAATACATTTGTAGTTTCATTTCCCTCTATGAGGGAAGAGTGTTGTTGAGGGCAGAGATTATCTCTACCCGCAATCATTATAGAAAAATTAGAATATGTTTATCTTTTTGCAGATAGACAAAAATACCCTTACTTTAACCCAGGTTTTTCTGATGGAGGTATTATTCAACATTTTGTAGAAAGAGAGGAAGTAATTTGTGAATATCAACAACACACAGTGTACATTGAATACCTATTATGTGTAAGATCTGGGCTAAGGACTGTATTAGTCTGTTCTTGCATTGCTAATATAAATAATTGAGACTGAGTAATTAAGAAGAAAAGAGGTTTAATGGGCTCATGCTTCTGCAGGCTGTACAGAAAGCATAGCTTCTGCATCAGCTTCTGGGAAAGCTTCAGGAAACTTACAATCATGGCAGAAGGCAAATACAGGAAGCATAGCTTCTGGGAAGGCTTCAGGAAAGTTAGAATCATGGCGGAACGCAAAATGGAAGCAGGCATATCACATGAGGAAATCAGGACCAAGAGAGTTGGAGAGAGATGCCACTCACTTTTAAACAACCAGATCTTGTGAGCACTTACTCACTATCACGAGAACAGTACAAAGGGGAAAGTACTAAATCATTCCTGAGAGATCGGCCCCCATCATTCATCCAATCACCTCCCAACAGGCCCCACCTTCAACATTGGGGATTACATTTCAATATGAGATTTGGGTGGGATAACATCCAAACTATATCAGGGACTAAGATAAAAAGAAATGTGTCACACCAGTCTTGACTTCATGGATCTTATATTCTAATCACGCAGACAAGGCTCATGAGAAAAGTAAATTATGTGTGTGTATATATATATATGTATATATATACATATATATGTGTATGTGTATATATATATGTGTGTATATATGTATATATATATATATATATATATATATATATATATATATATATATATATATAAAATAGCTGTAATCCCAGCACTTTGGGATGCTTGAGGTAGGAGGATCACTTGAGTCCAGAAGTTTGAGACCAGCCTGGGCAACATAGTGAGACCCCATCTCTAAAATAAAATTAAAAAATCAGCTGGGCATGGTGGTGCATGCTTTTGGTTCTAGCTACTTGTATTGTTGTTGCTAGCAGTTATACCCAGTCTTAGCACTTTTGTTTTATATAATACGCATCTGAAAAAGATGTATCATAAATTGATTTTTTGATCAATCTAATAATCTAAGCAGTCTTTGGTGAACCCTTTTGTAAAGATCATACTTCAAAACAGATACTCATTCTTTAATTTACTTTATCACTCAGTTTTTGCATGTCAGGTTTAAGATAAGGTGGGCTTCTTCTACTGCAAGGACTAAGGAATGCCTAAGGGAGATGTCATACCAATGTGGCACCAGAGTAGCAAGGGTATTCTTAACTCTTGGGCTCTGTATGGCATGGGCACTTGTCTCTGGAGATTCTGGCAAGGGTCTGGTCCAGCCCTCTCTGTGACTGAACTAGCATAGAACTATCTTTATACTGAAGCAAATGGGCTCAGAACCCCTAAGATGAGAAGAAGGAACAACAGCAGAAAGCAAATGTTCGGAATTTCCTTTCCTCTAAAGGTGCAAGAAGTATCTCTTCACATTGCAAGAGCTCTGCTCAAAGGCACTGTGGGGGTCTTTCCCCCTACCCCCTACTTTCTTCTCCTAAGTGTAGCCACCTGGACCAGGTGGTTATGTTGGAACTGTCATTGGCTAATGGGAGTTTGATGCCAAAAGAAGGATAATTGATTCCTGAGAAGCTTGGCCTATCACAGATGGGAGAAATGCTCCCAGCTCAGCCCTGGCTGCTCTTCGAATTCTAGAAGTTGGAGGGATTTTACTACTCAAGTGGAAAACTTGGGCAGACCAACCTAAACCCAGTAAATTAAGAGCTTTCACTTTTCCCTGGAAATTTGAAGCTTGACTGAAGAATTTGGAAAGTTTGCAAAGTCTTATTAAGCTGAATCTATCGTCAATTTAATTTACCTTCCATGGCACCCTGTGTGCTTAATCTGACAAATCTCCTCGCTTACAACATCACAAACCCCTTCACCTGGAAAGGAGCAGCCCAGAGAAAGGAAGGAGAGCTGAGCTTTCCAACTCATTCTCAGATTAGGAAAGGGACCATTAGGCCTCAAAACTTAACTCTCAACTTTATGTCTAGGAAAATGGAGTTACATGGACCTAAAAACATTAGCTCTGTTCAGGCCATTGCTTTACAAGCATCCGAGAGGATGCTGTTCACCCCCAGCATGATGAGAAACAGTCGAACAGTGGGGCAAGTTGGCGGAAAGAAAGGCTGTATCTAGAATCTCCTAAGGCAGTTATTCTACCATTACTGGGTTTGAAATGTGGAAAGTCCATCCTTATGAACAGGTTATGTTCCTAAAGTCCATTTATTTAAAAACTGGCTTGGAACTAGGAGTAGTACCCTACCCTGGCCCCAGACAATTGTTTCCTCTTGTTTTATTAATTTTTTTACTTTTGATATTTGTTTTTTTGAATATTAGTTTCTTGGAAGGGTCTCTGATTTTATTAAAATTTTAATTGTATTAGGCTAATACGTGTATATCAGCAAAACAGCCAAATAAGGCTATAAGGCTTTTAACCAAAACAGCAATAGTGTCCCTACCTCTGATTTCCACTCACCAGCAAAAAAAAAAAAAAAAAAAAAAAAGTACATTATATTATTTTAGTTGTTTCTTTTTAATATTGACCACTATATGTCTACGTAGCTATGTATGATAGCTATTTCCTGATGTTTTAAAGCTTAGGTATTTTCTGTTAATTTCCTGCTAGGGAAATTTAGCTCTCTTACCTAGCCCCCTCCTTTCCCTACCTTCACACACATATACACACACTTCCTGTTCCATAATTCCCCAAGAGAGATATGTCATAATTTTTTGTTAGAGAAATGGTCAACACATATTTTATTTTTGATTATATAAATATTATTCACAGCTAAGTCACACAATGTGCTAAGAAGAAATTGGCTTTTTTATGTAACCTTGTGCTTTTCTTAGAATTAATAGTTGTTTCTCTTTCTTTTCTTTTTTCTTTTCTTGTTTTTTTTTTTAATCTCTTAGAAATTTTTTCATCTTCAATGTTCCAATTACTCTCCACTCTCAGGCCAAAACTCAAGATTTGCAAATAAGTAACAATTCTCAACCTTCTTTCAAGTTTCTTTATTTCAAGTTTTTTTCCTTCTTTCTTTCTTTCTTTCTTTCTTTCTCACTGTGAGATACAACTCTTGAATAAAAAAACTGTACTCAGTGAGATACAACTCTTGGGGAAAAAAATTGACTAATCAAAGAAAGCCTGTGTATTTTTTAAAAAAGACATTTCCATTAACAGAATTAGAAAAGACTCTGTCTTGCCTTTCTTTCTTTCTGGCAAAATTCTTCTATTGATGTTCTTTTACAGAAAGGTGAGTTCTCCCTTTTAAAAATAAAACAGGAAGGGGAACAGCACACTCTGGGGACTGTTGTGGGGTGGGGGGAAGGGGGAGGGATAACATTAGGAGATATACCTAATGCTAAATGACGAGTTAATGGGTGCAGCACACCAGCATGGCACATGTATACATATGTAACTAACCTGCACATTGTGCACATGTACCCTAAAACTTAAAGTATAATAATAATAAAATAAATAGAAAATAAATAAATATATATATATAAATAAATAAATAAAAATAAAACTGGAAACTATCAAAAGCACAAAGAAAAGTGACTCTAAGGAAATTCATGTTGAGAATAGAAGGCATACTGTGTCAGGAAGACACTGACTATATAATAAGCACTACTGAAATATTTGAAAGGATACAAAAATACCTGTTCCCATGCCTGACAGCCTCAGCCCTCTCAGTTCTATACGCCTTCCATGTGTTGGCAGTGTTTCACTGCTTGGGTTTTTTAATGACAGGTGGCTATTACTAGATGATGGTTAAACCAAAGAGTTATGAGGCACTAGGGTGCTCCCTTAGAAATTTGCGTACCTCTCTACCAATGGAGTCAGAGGAAGCAAAGTTAAGACCAGGAAGTGGTCCTCACAGACCAATCTTCAATGGGGAATTTCCCTTTTTGTTTGTTGTTGTGGTAGCATAACTTTTCTATTTGTTTTATTCATTATTCCTTACAATATTTGAGTAAAACCAGTTGATCTGACTCAACTTAAATAAACATAGGTAGATTTTGGAAAGGTTATAAGGAACTGCTTATTTGCTAATTTAAGAGCCTGGTCAAGGTGTAACAAACAATGAACACTAATGAAATTCACATACTTTTTTGCTTGCTACCTGCTAATGTGTCCTTTTCTTGACTACAATGTAATGAAGTCTTACAGAAAGATCAGGTGATCCCCTTTCTTAAAAAAGGATCTCATAATTTAGATGTGTAAATGAGGGCTGTTGCCTTGAGAGACTATATTCTAGTCTCATAATGCTGCCATTAACAAAGCAGTTTCAGAAACTCTTCTTCTAGAATTATTTTCAGCCCTGGGTCGGGCTGCCAGACAAAATACAAGTGCCCAGTTAATTTGAATTTGTTATAAGCATGGGACATAAATTATAATGAAAAATTATTCACTGTTTATCTGAAATTCAAATTTAACTGGGTGTCCTGGAATTTGGTGGAAGAGGGGGATGGTTTGGTTGGTTGGTTGGTTTTTTTTTTAACTCCAGAAACCCTATGTCTGTGCACTTGTATGTAAACAACTTGACTGATGCCAACCTTGCTTGGATGGTGGCTGTGATTTTAGACACAGTCTAAAGTCTTTCAAAGTGAAGTCTGATGTCAAGAAGGATAATGCCACTTTTGGTTAAAAATAACACTATAAAGTAAACAGGTTTTCTCATGGGTCTTGTAAACTGTCTCTCACAGAAATGCTTAAAGAATTTTTGAAAATGGGTTTAATCAGTGGCAGAATTTTATTATTTTTATTTTTATTTTGAGACAGACTCTCACTCTGTTGCCCAGGCTGGAGGGCAGTAGTGCAATCCTAGCTCACTGCAGTCTCCTGGGCTCAAGTGATCCTCCCACCTCAGCCTCCAGAGTAGGTGAGATAACAGGCATGAGCCACTGTACCTGGTCAAAAGGCAGGATTTGAAAGAGTAGTTAGCTTTCCAAAATATTCAGTGAAAAAGGTAGTCAGATTCTGAGCAGGAACTAACAAAACAGAGCCATAGGTTTGTGTACAGTATAAATGTTAGTATCATATTAAAGATTGACATTCACCTGCTGAATCTTTTACAGATTTGGTTGTGTGATTTTATTATTTGCATATAAACTTATAAAGCCTTTGGCTGTGCTTTGGAAGAATGGTACAAGAAGGAACACTTCTCCAGAGATAATCAAAAGAGTTAATCTCTGGTAGATTAACTTTCTCCTTGAAAATTTTGGTTATGGTACCTTCCTGTCACCACGATAGGCTATAAGCCTCAGACTCTGTGTTACAGTCACTCTTATTCACCAACATTCTTGGCAGTGCGCTACTTCATAAAGTATCACTGCATTGCAGGCACTTTTTCATCCTATTGTTATTGTTGTTATTTTCATAACAACACTGCAATATTGACATAGCAGGAATTATTCTTCAACTTTTGCAGACGTGGTTACTATGGTTAGGAGACAGAAAGTGATTTGCTATTAAATAGCATCAGACACAAGCCCATTGTACTAAATGGGTGCTTTTTTCTTTAGGCCAAGCTGTCTCTGAAAGAAAAGGAAAAGTTGAGTAAAGAACATTTTGAGTTTTCCTCTAAACTTGACGGTTAAGCTGTGACTCAAAAAAATAAGGAAGGTGGAAGCAATATTTTACTGAAATGTGACATCCCAAGACATATTTGTTGGCTATTGGGTTCTATATGGAAATTTAAAAATTAAGCCTCTTTCAAAGGTAACTGAACTATCAACCTGTCTTACTGTCTATGATTGATGTCGCCTGAACGTGTGGTCCTTAAAATATCACTTAGATATGATAAGACATCACTGGAATTAAATTCGGAGGTGGCCACATTTTCTTAGACAGGACGCAATAAAACACTAAATATAAAAGGTAGAAAAAAGTATAGATTATGTTAAAATTGAGAACTCTGTTCATCAAAAGCCATCAAGATGAAAAAGCGACCATAAAGTTGCAGACAATATTTGCAATAATTATATTAGATGAGTCACTCCTAACCAGAATTTATAAAGAATTTCTACAAATCGATAAGAAAAAAGACACTCAACAGAACAATTACCAAAAGATTTACAAAAAAACAAGAGGATATTCAAATAGCTAAAATGTTTATTAAAAAGTGTTCCTCTTCATCAGTCATCAGGGAATTGCAAATTAAAACCATAATGGGATGATATTAGTACTTACCCACCAGAATGGTTAAAATAAAAAAGATGTAAAATGCCACGTCTTGACAAAGATGTGCAGCAACCAGAATCCACATATGCTATCGGTAGCATTGTAAGTTAATACAACCTCTTGGGAAAACAGTTTGGCAGCATCTACTAAAGCTGAACATATGCCATCCCTAAGACCCAGAAATTCTCATATGTGTATGCCAATGCATACATGTGTTCACAGAAAGACAAGCACTAACATGTTTGTAGCAGCACTTTAAATAATAGTCCCCAAGTGGAAATTTCCCAAGTGCCCATAGACGGTAGAATGGATAAATAAATTGTCATATATTCACACGATGGAATTCTATGCAGAAATGTGAACAAATCTAGAACTACAACAATATGGATGAAACTTAGAAACATAATGTTAAGCAAAAAAGCCAAATACAAAACAGAGAATGTGGTATTGTTCCCTTCACATAAAATATAAAAGTAGGAAACACTAATCAATGTTGGTAGAAGTCAGGACAGTGGTTGTCCTGGAATGGGGGAGAGGGATGTGGATAAGAACAGAAAAGAAGCATAAAGCAGGGCTTCTGTGGTGTCAGTAATGATGGCAGTGGCCACTCCAGATGGCTTACTGCTGTCATCACACTGGCTGCAGATGGCAGGCAGCCTGGGGCTGCATGTTCCATGGAGTCGGCAGGAGCCGGGGACAAGCAAGAGCCCCACCCCTTGCAAATTAGGGCAGGAGCTCCTGGAGTACCGCTGCAGCCACCCAAACCACCGCTGCAGACCCAAGCCTCCAACTCCACGGAGCAGGTGGGAGCCCCACCCTCCTGGGCCAGGCTGCAGCCTCAGGCATCCCTGCACTATTGTGGGCCTAGGAAGGCCCCCTGCCCTTGCAGGCTCCAAAGAACCTGTCCTGCTGCCTAGTTTTTCCCTGCTGTTGGTGCTGGCTCCAATCTTGGAACAACGTTGGGGCTGAGTCTAGGCAGCCATGAACAACAGCAGGAGGCAGACAGATTCCTGGGCAGAAGGAGATGGGTCCTCCATAAGGCTCCACCTTCAGACCAGGGAGGTCCCAAAGGCTGAGGGCAGGGCTTCCAGACCCACGTACCAGAGTGGGGACCTGTGGTGCCTTTTCTGGCCCATCCATGGTTGCCCATGGACCAGTTGCTGTGCACTTCCTCCCCTCTGAGGTCCATAAAAACCCCAGGCTCAGCCAGAGCAGGGCAGAGAATAGAGAGATGATGGCATGACCATTCTGTAGAGATGAGCTACTGTCTCTGCTGATAGCGGGATATGAGGTGACCAGATGCACCGAGGAGCTACCCTCTCTGCTAAGAGCTGCAGAGGTGACAGGATGACCAGCTGGCAGAGAGAGGCCACCCTCTCCAGGGCCTCCTTTCTGCTGAGAGCCGATTACTCGGTGGGACAGCCTGCCTACAGAGAGGTGCTACCCACTGCAGGTCTCCTCTGAGCTATTCTCACACTCAATAAAGCTCCTCTTTATCTTGTTCACCCTCCACTTGTCTGCATACTTCATTCTTCCTGGATGCAGGACAAGAACTCAGGCAAAGGCACCAACGGCCACAGAGGTTTCCAGCCAGAAAAGCGACATCCCAAAGATCCCATAACGGTAATGTGCCTTCATCTGGATGGTGGTTTAAGATGAACTCAGTTCGTGAAAATTCATCTATTTGTACTCTTAGGATATGTGAATATTATATAATTCAATAAAAAATGTCTAAAATCACTGGAATTCTAAAGAGACCCAATATTCCACATTTACCAGAATGTCTTTGGAAGAGAAGTTTGTATGTGATGGGAAGCAATATTTTCATGAGATGCTGATGTTCTGTGAAAGGGCCATATATACAAATTGGCCCTCAAGTGCCAAAGGAGCTGAGAAACCAAAGAACAAGACAGACAAATCCAGTTTGTTGGCAAAGAGTGTTTTATTGGGGGAACTTACAGATAGAAGTGTGGTCTTAGGCAGCCACAAGACAGGTAAATCTTTGCACTGTTACTCTGCTGACCCAAGGCTTATATATGAATATGACAGGAAAATGGTATACATGCTCCAGCAAGACAATTAAAGGCGACCCTCCCAAACAGGCAAAAATGTGTGTGATAACATCAAGGTTGACATGTTCTTATACACAAACAGTAAATAAAGTAGGAATCAGGAGATATTCACAGGATTGTGGCTAATCAGAAGTCAACATGGCAGGTTAGCATCCAAGATGGAGTCACTTTGCCTCCCAGCTGGGTAGTAGGCAGTATAGTAGACAGCTGTTGTTTTGCCTGCCTGCCCTGTGTACATTCTCGCCTTTTTAGAGCAAAAAAAAAAAAAAATTTCTTTGGGTAACTATCTGTATATTACATGATAAGGCTTTCAAATGTAATGTTCTTCTCCCCTTCTCCACCGCAAGGGTAGGCATGAAACCCAAGCCAACCACTCAGAGAACTCTATCCAACTAGACACAATGATTGGTCCTAATATCTTATTATATAGTATCTTATTATAGATACATTAAATCTTTAATGATTGGCATGTATCTAAAAAGGGCCAGTCAGAGTCCTTTTTAGTAGATCTGAAATTGAGGGTGCTTGGTACACCCTTGGCCTCTCAGGTATGTAAATCAACAAATCCCTTTTTTACTTAAGCTAATTAGAATGGATTTCTGTCACTTGAAGCCCATAGAGCTCTGACTCATGCAAGTGATGGGGTCTCTGAAGGGTGTGTTCAGGTAACACAGTCATTCATTAAATTATCTTGTAATTAGGGTGGTTCCAGTTAACAAGAGAGCTTTGGCTGAATGGTATATGCAACCTTCCCCACTCAGTACTTGTATTAATCTGTCACTGTGTAACAAATTACCACAAATTTTGTGGTGTAAAACAACACACATTTGTTGCCTCCCAGTTTGTGTGGGTCATGAATCCAGGTACAGCTTAGCTTGCTCCACTGCCTACAGGGCCCTCACAAGGCACCATTAAGTGTCAGCAGGGGCTGAGGTTGCATTCAAAAGCTTGACTGGGGAAGGATCTGCTTCCAAGCTTGCATGCTTGTTGGCAGGATTCAGTTACTCATGGGCTGTCAGACTGAGAGCCTCAGTTGTTTGCTGGCTGTTGATGGAGGCTGCCCTCATTTCCTTGCGACATGGACATCTCTTAACCCAGCTGCTTGTTTCATCAAAGTATGCAAGCTGAGAAGGCATTGAGAGGGTCTGTTAATAAAACAGAAGTAAAACTCTTATGTAACACCATCACAGAAATGACAGCCCATCACTGTTGCTATTTTATAGTAGTTAAAAGCAAGTTGCTAGGTCAGCCCACACTCATGGGGAGGAGATTACACAGGGCATAACTACCAAGAGGCATGGATTATTGGGGTTCATTTTAGGATCAGCCTATGACAGTGTTCAAGTGTTAAATACAAATTTAAATAATATCAGTTTGAAGGGGCAGCAAGTTATTAACCTGCCCAGGCCATGTGTTTTGGCCAGTTTATATTATACATATTCACAGCTGGTGTCAGTATCCATTAGGGCAGGTGGTGGTGGGGATCCAGAAAAGGTCAAGGAGCTTGGAAATGATGCGTAGTAAATTAAATCTTTAAATGAAAGAGGAAAAATACTCTATAATAAGATATGCCTGTACCCCTAAAACCTTAGAAATCAAAGAAGTGTCATAAACTTTATGAAAGTTTTGCTATAAGAACACTGGCAAGTCAAGCACTTTAAATTGTCTTTATATTAGTGATCTATTTGAATTCCCCATAAGTTCTTAGTCATGCATCAGAAAAGGCAAGATAAATTGGTTAAGATCACAGATAGGCTGGGCGCGGTGGCTCATGCCTGTAATCCCAGCACTATGGGAGGCCGAGGCAGGCGGATCACAAGGTCAGGAGATCGAGACCATCCTGGCTAACATGGTGAAACCCCATCTCTACTAAAAACACAAAAAATTAGCCGGGCGTGGTGGCGGGCGCCTAGAGTCCCAGCTATTCTGGAGGCTGAGGCAGGAGAATGGCGTGAACCCAGGGGGTGGAGCTTGCAGTGAGCCGAGATCAAGCCACTGCCCTGCAGCCTGGATGACAGAGCTAGATTCTGTCTCAAAAAAAAAAAAAAAAAAAAAAGATCACAGGTACTTAAACCTCAAGTTAAAAACGTGAAAAAATATATATATATGTAACATACATAATTATTATACTTATAATTTGTTGTATTTCCATAAAAATTACATATAACATACAATGGATTATATGTTACATGTATTTTATACAGATTATATATTATATATGCTATATATAATATATAGTACACAATATTTTCCTTTTAGTTATAAATTCTTTTTTTTCTTTTTGATCCATCCAAAGCATTGATTAGAAAAACTTAGGCACAGAGAAGGCTGTAGCAATCTTTGCAACAAACAGCAAGAGACAACGGTGTTCTATCTAGTTATGTCTGCTGTGAGGAGGTCAGGGCATGGAGTTTATATAAAGGTTTAAGGATTTGGGCTAAGGCTAGGACCAGTTTCTTCCTCGTAAACCTTGATACCTGTATGAGGGCCTGGGAATGTTCAAAGCCCTGGTGTCAAGCCTGCTGGGAAAAGCCTGCTGCTGGTTGTGTCATAGTGTGATCAAGGTACTCTGTGATTTTTGGTCAAGACACAGGGAAAAAGCAGGGGGTGGAGGGGACTGGGGGAATTCCACAAGTAGTTTGTAAGTACTTTATCTCCTCCTTACCTCCAGTCCAAATTGCAACCTTTTGAGGTTATAAATAGGAAGGGGAGAAGACTTCTGTATCCACATTTGAGTGATGTAGGGAGAGGAATTTGTCTCAGTCAAACATAGGGATAAGGAAACAAAACCCTGTTGATTAATGACCAGTAAGTATGTCTGGTCAGCTTACGGCTGGCACACATTCCCAAATTCACAGATAATTTCAAGCTTATGAATAGGCAGTGTTCTCACTTGTAAACATTCACTAAACGATGACTATTGTTACCAGTGGTACACATGACCTATGATTAATATGAACCAATTCAGAAGATATAGGTAGTAGCAGCCTTCCCTGTCAGAGGAAGCACATGTATGTCTGGAAGTTCTGAATCAACAGCATGAGTATCTTGGCACTAGGATCTGTGTGCTGGGACTCACCAGTAGTGTGACCTATTTGAAGTCCCAGTATGGAATCTCTATGGAAGCCTATGCGTTAAGTCATGTCTTCCCTCCCTTAGCTGAAACCTGATACAACCAGAAGTTGGAGAAATCGTGGTAGCAGAAAGAGAGGGGGGAAGACAGAGCACTGCACAAATCCAGGGTCTCTATTTTCATCACAGTCTAAGTAAATGCCACCCTTGGGGCAGGCGCTAAGTTCACACAGAGTTACACATACAGAAAAAATGAGTGAGGTTACATTTTGGAGATCTTTCCTGTAATGGACATCTGCTGTTTTGCCTACTCAGCCTCACTTCCTCACTTTTTTAGTAACAGTGCATCAGTTTTTCTTGGGTCTCAGTCCGTGCTGTTCAGGTGAGCTGACCACAAGACACCTGGGGTGGACAGACCAGTGACTCAGGCCTAGTAAATTGGTCACAGCAATTGATTCATGGATGGGCCTGTGACCAAATTTGGATCAATGAGAGTCAGCCCTGGAATTTTTGCTGGAAAAATTACAAAAGACATATTCACTTTTGGGCTTGCTAACATGGTAGGCTGTGGAGCCAGCCTGAGAACTGAGCTCTCCTGGGACAAGACTGAAACAACATTTGGGCAGCAAATCCCAGGGTTGTGCCAAAAACTATTGCCAGTAGTCAATCAATGTCTTGGGTATTTGAACTTTCTCTTGTCTTGGGGTAACTCTCAGTGTCCTGTGGATTCCTAAATAGGCAGAGCATGGCCTTCATCTCATCTCTTGTGAAGAGTCTGGACCTTATTGCCCCTGGATCTAACCTCTGTTCTCCAAAATCCCTTCCAATATTTGTTCCAGATGGCCAGCTGTGTCCTTATACATTGGAATTCCTGGTAACTTGCCTTGATATACCAGTAGAGACTATGTATGCACCCCAAACCTAATATAGGGAAATGCCATTATTTAAGAAAGAGCTTTCCAATGGAGACCCCCAAAATAGAATGGGATGTTTTATAAATTTGCATGTCACTGGAGATGTTCTGTATCACTAAAACTCAGTAAGGCTAAGCAATTTTCAAGATAACACAGCCAATAAATGGCAAAGCCAAATTATAACCAAATCTTCTGATCCCAAAGACCATGCTCCTTCCACCATGCCAAGCTACATTGCTTTCATAGTCTCTCTAGAATATATAGATTTGCAATGGTGTTTAGGATTTCCTCTGCCTCCCACTCCCCTTCAATAATAAGGGATGTGCATTTTCAAGGTGGATACTGTGATGGTTATCTGCATATATCAACTTGTATGGGTCATGAAATAGCCAGATATTTGGCTGAATATTACTGCTGAGTGTGTCTGTGAGGGTGTTTCTGGATGAGATTAACACTTGAATAGGTAGACTGAGTAAAGCAGATGGCCATCCCCAATGTGGGTGGGCCTCATCCAATTCATTGAAGGCCCGAATAGATTAAAAGATTGAGTAAGAAAGAATTATTTCTCTTTGCCTGACTGTCTTCAAGCTGAGACATCATCAATTTTCTCCTGCCTTTAGACTCTGACTGGAACTTATACCATTAACTCCCCTGGGTCTCTGTCTTGCTGAATGCAGATCTTGGACTTCTCAGGCTCCTTAATCATGTGAGCTAATTCCTTATAGTAAATCACTGTGTGTGTGTGTGTGTGTGTGTGTGTGTGTGTGTGTGTGTGTGTGTGTGTATTTCCTATTGCTTCTACTTCTCCAAGACCACAGTACAGTGCAGTGTGGGGCTAAGTTTCACAGAGAATTACTGCACTAAAGTCATGCCTGACACAATGCATGATATCCTAGAATCGCAGTTTCTTCATTGGTAAAATGGGTATAATAAGGAATCTGACTCCATTTTTTGACTTTTGACTACTGCCAGCTTTTAAGCCTTACCCCTCCCTCTTCCTCATCTGCCCATATCCAGGAGAACTGATAAGAAAACCAGGATATTCCCTCCTTTGCTACTAGGAAGCTGCATGGCAACTTCAAACCATGTGTGGGAACCCTCACCCTGGCCCCACCTCAACCACCAACAAAACAAACCCTAAGCCAGTCTCCTTTCTGTGCTCTCTCTCAAGCCATTTTTTTTTATCTGCTTGGAAACCACACTGCTATCCCCAGAAAGCCTCATTATGTGAATAATAGTTTTCATACCTATGTGAGGTGGATGTGTGGCATCATCAGTTTTGACATCCAAATCAAATTTGGATGAGGGTCCCTCCTGCTTCTGAAGAGTGGTCATTCATAACAATGGGAGTACTAACTACCTTCAAGGATGATTGTAAGAATTAGAGCTAATGTAATAAAGTACAGTGCTTTACAGTCACATAGTAGGTGATCATAAGGTTGTAATAGAGTTGAAATGAATTAAGAATTATAAAGCAACTTAGAACAATTAGAAAGTATACAGTGTTTCCTAATTGTTTAATAAATACAATTAAAATAAAAAAACTCTTACTGCTGTCATTTCTGCTAGTGTGTAATCAAAGTTTTAATTTTTGTACGTGAAGGAAAATCCAGAGTTTGTACCTAAAATTACATCTAAAAAGCATTTCCTTGGAATACAATATACTCCCAATCTACTGACAAGCCCATTTAAGTAAAACAACATTTCTGATTCTTAGCTGTCATATTTACAAGCTCAGGTGTAAATATATATTGTAAGAGTGTGCCTTTGTGTTCCCTTGAGGTAATAGACTGGAGCTATGTAGGGGGCCTGGCATTACCAGCACAGGTGGAGTTTCAGTCTTCTGAGGAAGGGAAATTCCCACTAGGATTCTGATGATGATGGCGGTGGAGCTGGAATGAGGCCCAACTCACCGTACCTGAGGAAGAATTCAATTGCAGATTCCCACATACACCCCTCACAAATTGTCCACTAGACAGAATTTAAGAAGAGATGAGATGTCATTGTATTTTTAAAAGTCCTCAAGAATTTCCAGAGGTAATAGATCTGAGAGCAGCCTCCAAAGAAGCCTTGAAAGAGACCCACCAAGGCAATTTTGATAAGTTTCCAATTTGTGCTCTCCCTCATGCAAGCTAAATGTGCACTTCATGCAACTCCACTTTCAGCAGCTAGCTGTGACTAATCTGTCATCCCTTATCAAGTGAATATTTGTGACCCTTGACCTGAAGCATAAATGAACTGCAGGGAGATGTGGGACCTGAGTCAATTCAAGGACTCCTACCAGGCCCCATCTGGAGAATGCCCTGACAGCTGCAGAGGACAGCAGAGAAGATCTCTAAGAAAAACCCTCTAAGTCAGAAACCGCATCGGGACTGTGAGCAGATGTCTGGAAGAGGTTAATCTATCCATTCCTGCTCTTCTCCCCAAGAGATGGTAGATACCACTATGAAAGATGTCCTCCTTCGAAAACAGTAAGTGATATTAGGACTATGATGGGCCATTGGTCCCTTGCCTCCATTGACTTTGATAGTATTGACTGCTAATAAGGCCGTTCCTCCCCTTTTCAGTGTTAAAGAGAAGACGAAACATTGTGGTCAATGTGCTTTTAACTGGAAAATCTTTACCAGAGACATTAAATTGAAATGTCCAAACTTCTGCATGGAAGACTACTTCATCCATTTTTCGTGAGTGATATTTCTAACAAAAAAACTTGTATATGTGGTGAAGGTCAAAATCATGAGATGTCAGTTTCTCTTCTCATGAAGTGTTTTGCCATGTGTGAGATAATGTGTATTACGGAAGATGACATAATCTTCCATAGTATTACAGTGGCTCAACCAGGCATTAAAATACACCGAATTATATGGGGGAGAAAGTTATTCCCCTTAAAATTATTTTTTCTTTCTGATTACCTCCAAGGTAAACTCTCAGTTTGCTGCTGGTCTTTTAGCAACCCTCTGACAGGGAGCAAAACTTAGGCTTCAAGTCCAAGAAAAATAAGGCTTAGCTAAAATTTTGTCTAACATTTTCTTTGTTTTTCTTGGATTGAATTTTATAGTTACATTCAGTTTTTAACAAGTGAAGCCTGTCTTCAATTTTATAGTAATGATATAACTAGAACGTGTGGAAAAAGAGATTTTTTAAAAAGTAATAATATGAGATCCTCTTCCCAAAAAAGAAAAGTATTTAATTTTAAGAAAGTGAGATGATTAAAAACTCAAGTCAGTATGAGTACAGGTGATTCAAAGGTATAGCAAAATTCGTGAAGGCAATACACAAATGACTGAACTTCAGAAATCACTGCGTCAATGCATTTTTAAAGTGTTATGAGGCACAAACAATTCCAAGAAGATGATATCTCCAATTAGTTCCTCTTAATTCTGACCTGAAATACCTAAGAATGATAGAGAGGGGTGAAAGCTGGGATGCCAATCTGTTGCCCACTGTGGCTTCCCTGGCCCCACTCTCTCTCCTCTTTCAACTTACCAAGATGCATCCTTCATCTTCAACTGGTCTTCAGTGCCAAAATTTTACCATAAGAAGACAGAGGAGTTCTGTTTCATGCGTAATGGAAATAAGGGCAATGTAATTATCACAATTAAAAGTTACTTTCGGCCGAGCACAGTGGCTTATGCCTGTAATCCCTGCACTTTGGGAGGCCGAGGTAGGGGGATCACCTGAGGTCGGGACTTCGAGACCAGCCTGGCCAACATGATGAAATCCCGTCTCTACTAAAAATACAAAAAATTAGCCGAGCATGGTGGCGGGCGCCTGTAATCCCAGCTACTTAGGAGGCTGAGGCAGGAGAATTGCTCGAACCCAGGAGGCAGAGGTTGCAGTGAGCCAAGATTGCGCCACTGCACTCCAGCCTGGGAAACAAGAGTGAAACTCCGTCTCATAAAAAAAAAAAAAGTTAATTTCATCAAACCCATAGATATATTCAATCCACACTACTGAAAACATCTTTAAGTTCAAAGGACTTGAATAATAAATTAGTTAATTCTGCAATTATGAAATAGAAATCACAAAATCAATTGTTTCACATAGAAATTATGGGATGGTATTCAACTGAGACCAAGGCAATTGTAATTTTAAATAGCATGAGCTTTAGCTAAGATTCAATAAGTGATAGACAAGTGATGATACATAGATAGGTGGTGGATATGCACACATAACATGTGTATAATCATATCATTCAACAACATGGACCACTGACAATATACATGGTAATGTGCTCATTGCCAAAATAGACGTATTGACAAAAACATGGCCCCTGGCCTCTCAGATTTTCGTTTCAGTTCCCCCAAAAACCGATAATTATTGAGCACTGACTCTGTGCCAGGAACATGTACAAAGTACCTGGCACAGAGTAAGTGCTCAATAATTGTTAGTTCTCTTACCCCACCCTCCCCTTTCCACATTCTCATCATTAATGGAAGATGAAAGAGTCCCACAGATCCCTTTTACAGAAAATGAAAAGGAATGCACTGCCGGGGCCCCTTGGCCCTTCTAATAATGCAAACCATGTAACATGTACAGGAAATTAACTCTAGAATAGACTCAGAATTTTCAGAGCAAATAATTTGTAGCTTCATCCCAACTTTAGACTAACTGGGGGAAAGTTTCTGGGAAGTAGGATAAAATCACCTAGTGTGAGGTCAGCAGGGCAAATTCCAGGAACTGCAGGCTCCCACCCCAAGCCCTGTCCTGATGTCCCCATCCATTGCCTGTGTCGGCAGCTCTGACAGTGGCAGGTTTGACAAAGGTGCATGTTCAGGAAGAGTTGGTGTTAGGGAATCCCAATACGCTCTGCACTTCATTCATTCCTGATAAGTGACTGAGTTCTTTGCAGGTGAGCTAGTCTTGTCCTCCTTCCAGGAAGCCTACTCTAGATAAAAAGACCTGCATAACCTCAGTCACAAAGCTTCTTGAGAAGACACGAGTAGTCAGTTTTTACTTTTCAAAGATATAGAATATTGGCATTTTTTTTTCAGTTGCCCAGAGCCTAGCATAGTGCCTAACCATATATAGACATCCAGGATACCGTGTTGTTTGAGTAATGAATGAATTAAAAGTAGCTCACGCCTGTAATCCCAGCACTGTGGGAGGCTGAGGTGGGCAGATCACTTGAGGTCAGGAGTTGGAGACCAGCCTGGACAACACAGTGAAACCCCCGTCTCTACTAAAATACAATAATTAGCTGGGCGTGTTGGTGCGTTCTCATAATTCCAGCTACCCTGGAGGCTGAGGCAGGAGAATGGCTTGAACCCAGGAGGAAGAAGTTGCAGTTAGCCAAGATCACACCACTACACTCCAGCCTGGGCAACAGAGCAACACTCTGTCCCAGGAAAAAAAAAAAGTATCACTCAGGAAATTGCCAGTTCTGTTGGACTGACCTGTTAAAACTCTAATAAAATGGCAATAGCTAACACATACTTCCTATTATATACTAGGCACTGTTCTAAATGCTGAAAGTTGTTACTTTCTAAAATATTTTTCAAATCCTTCAACAACCCTATGAGGTGGATATACTCATTAATAGGAGCAACTATTATTATACCCATAAGGAAGCTTCCAGCACAGCATAATAGTAAGGAGACCTAGTTTTACTCATGACCATCCATAGCAGCTTGCACAACAAGCCCTCAATCATGGCTGCACCTAAATATACATAAGTCATGTTCCTTTCTTTTCTTTTTCTTTTTTTTTTTTTTTGAGACAGAGTTTCGCTGTCTCAAAGCTAGAAGACAGTGGCACGATCTCGGCTCACTGCAACCTCTGCCTCCCGGGTTCACGCCATTCTCCTGCCTCAGCCTCCCAGCACCCACCATCATGCCCAGCTAATTTGTTTTTTCTTTTTTTGTTTTTTTTTGTTTTTTACTTTTACTTTCAGTAGAGATGGGGTTTCACTGTGTTGGCCAGGCTGATCTTGAACTTGTGATCCGCCTGCCTAAACCTCCCAAAGTGCTGGGATTACAGGCATGAGCCACCACTCCTGGCCATCAATTTCCTTTCTTACAGGTCAAGAAAAATAGAGACTCAGAAAGAGTAACTAACTTGCCCAAGATTGCCCAGCTAACAGTTGGTGAAGCTGAATTCAAGACTAGGTAGTCTTGCTCTTCAATCAGTGCTTCTAACCACTAAGTTACACTGCCTCACAAGAATAACAGAAGCAATTTTTCCACTTACACCACACCCTTCTTATAACAAGATACTTGAACATGTGCATAGCCATGTGTGTTTTGGTAAAGATATACCTACATCTTGTGAAAGTAGCACAATCTGAAATCCTGAACTCTTTCCTTTCTAGTTAGGCCTACAGAACTTGAAAACATACAGTCTCTTTTCATTAATTAGGAAGAAAATCCTGACACTAAAACTAAGCATTTGTTTGCAAATATCCACCTTCATATACCAACCCATATATAAACATTCATGGACTAGACATTGGTTTGAGGTCCTGCTATGATGAACCAGTGGCCGGTGGCCCACCACACACTTTTGTCATTCTGTACTGCTTCCGTCTCTCAACCAACCAAACAGTAACCTGGTCACCCGTCTAAGCCCCTGTCAAGCCAATCCAGTTGTTTTTTTTCCAGCAAGGTGAATTATAGAGCGTAGAAGTATTTTACCTTTTTCTATTACCTTCTCTGCAACAGAAGTCATGGGCCCATAACAATATCCAATCAGAAATTTCTTTTGCCTTGTTCTAAACACAAAGGGATAAGTTTCCTCCTAGATTTTATAAAACTCTTAAAAGAAAATGCATGATTTTTAAATGAAGGCACTTCAAAAAGAGGATTTGAAGATATTACTGGTCCTTGTCCCTTATAGCAGCTATGTGGCCTTCATCTGGGAAAGGGGCACCAAAATTTTGTCGTGACTTTCTTAATAATAGATAGTTGTCACAGTATGTTAATCGAAACCACTTCCCATACTTCCCATAATTGTTAGCTGGCCTTTTCATGGGAGAGATTTTTTCAAAGATTTCCCATAATGACGTAACGTATGAAAACAAAGCAGGTTATAAAATAATATGTATTGTATAATTATATTTTTAATAATACGTATGTATTAACAGGCATAAAAGTGTCCTGGAAGGATACACCCAAGGGTGTTAACGTATTAGAATTATTTGTAATTTTGAATTTTTTTCTTATCTAAATATTCTAATTCTTGCCGGGCGCGGTGGCTCACCCCTGTAATCCCAGCACTTTGGGAGGCTGAGGCGGGTGGATCACTTGAGGTCAGGAGTTCAAGACCAGCCTGGCCAACATGGTGAAACCCTGGCTCTATTAAAAATATACAAAATTAGCCGGGCATGGTGGTGCACGCCTGTAATCTCAGCTATTCAGGAGGCTGAGGCAGGAGAATCCCTTGAACCCAGGAGGTGGAGGTTGCAGTGAGCTGAGATTGCACCACTGAACTCCAGCCTGTGCAACAGAGTGAGACTTGGTCTCAAAAATAAATAAATATATATATAAATAAATATTCTAATTCTTGTGCTACAAATATGTATTGCTTCTGTATTAAGACAAAATGTTTCAACTACTAAAAAAATAAGATTCAGATGAGCTACATAAACAGTTTCTGAGAGTACCAAGATTGCACTAAGATTCTATGCCTCCAGAAGGGGGTAAGAAAGTTAATATTTATTAAGAACTTGCTATATTTCAGACACTTTGTCTTTTTTTTCCCATTTAATCCTCTCTGTGATTCTGTAAGATGGGTAGTATTGTTACCATTTTACAGATGAGGAAACTTGAGGCTCAAGAAGGTTACATAAATGTCTAAATCATATGCTGAGCACAGAGCCAGGATTCCACCAGATTCATCTGATCCCAAAGGCCACACTCCCTTCACTTGCCAAAGAAGCTTCCAGCACAGCATAATAGAAAGGACACCTGGTTTTACTCATCACCATCCATAGCACCTTGCACAACAAGCCCTCAATGATGGCTGCACCTAAGTGTATATAAGTCAAGTTCCTTTCTTTTCTTTCCTTTTTTGTTTTTTGAGACAGAGTTTCGCTGTGTCTCCCAGGCTGGAGTGCAGTGGCACGATCTCAGCTCGCTGCAACCTCTGCCTCCCGGGTTCATGCCATTCTCCTGCCTCAGCCTCCCAAGTAGCTGGAACTACAGGCGTCCGCCACCATGCCCGGCTAATTTTTTTTTCTTTTACTTTTAGTAGAAACGGGGTTTCACTGTGTTGGCCAGGCTGATCTTGAACTCTTGACCTCGTGATCCACCTGCCTCAGCCTCCCAGAGTGCTGGGATTACAGGCATGAGCCACTGAGCCTGGCTGTCAAGTTCCTTTCTCACAGGTCAAGGAAGAAGTGCCATGTTGCACACAGACACTCCACTTAGCCCCTTCACTCATCCCCAGTTAATGCAAATGACTCTGAGATTCTTGTTACAGCTGCAGTGCAATTTGCTGTGTCTTTTAAGACAAAATGTGGTTTGCATTCTCTCTGTTTGTGGTACAGACCCATTATTAGGGTGACTTAGAGCCCTTTGATGATTCTGAGATACATATTACACATGCTCTTAAAGGAAGCGTCTTTACATCACAGTCAGCTGACAATTGGCCTCTTATGTTAACAACTGGCAAAACATCACAGCTTTGCCTTAATTACCTTTTGTTTTCCTGTCCTGTTGCTTGTTTTGTTAAGTATTAATATGACTTTGGTTTCCCCCTCACACCAACAAGCTTCAGGCGATTCATTTATGATCTCTCTTTGCTGTCACATCACTTCTGTGAAGAATATAATCGCTGGACATTGTTTTCCCATTATGAAAAAGGACGCAGTGAGGAAGTGCAGATGCACCTTATGGAATAAGACTGGCAAAATGGCAAGTGGGGAGTGATTGGCAAGAAACTGACATTATAGGAAAAGAAGCAAACTCTGAGCAGACGTGGATGGGCATTGACATTTAGGCAGTGGGAGAAAGAATATGTGGATATGTGATAATGGAGGGAAAGTACTTCCACTGACAACAGCAAGGACTATTTCTGAGGCTTTTACAATGGGCCAGACTCAAGAATAAGTGTTTTACACGTGATTCATCCTCACAAGCAGGATCAGATCCAAGGTTTGTGCAGCTCTGAAGATGACACATTTTGGGAAGAGGGCAGGGGTCTTTAGACTAGAAAATTACAAATACAGTGTACCTAAAGCCCTCCTGTGAGAAGCTTGTACAAGTGAGGTGTCTTGAGCCTTAAGCTCCCTGAGCTTCATGACAAACCCATAAACCCTCTGAAGTGGTCTCATCCATTCCACATATAAGTGAAGCTCAGCAAGGTTGGCTGGGCACAGTGGCTTATTCCTGCAATCCCAGCACTTTGGGAGGCCAACGTAGGAGAATCATTTGAGTTCAGGAGTTTGAGGCCAGGCTGGGCAACATAGTGAGACTCCATCTCTACAAAAAAATTTTTTAAGTTAGCCAGGCATGGTGATGCATGCCTGTGGTCCCAGCTACTCAGGAGGCTGAGGTGGAAGGATCACTTGAGCCCGGGTGGTTGAGGCTGCAGTGAGCCGTGATAAGCCAGAGCACTCCAGCCTGGGCAACAGAGCGAGATCCTGTCTCAAGCATGTGCACCATACTTGAACATATACAAGTATGCAAGTGCAAGGGAGTTGGCATCTCATGGGGCAACTTAACCACTACAGGGCATGAACTAGTGGATAAATGTTCCCCTCTTCTGACTCTTAGGCAGATGATTCTGAATGGGTGACGAACTCATCCTGGCTTTCCAGGGACCTGAGTTTTCCCTGGTTTAGCATGGAAATCCCGTGTTGCTGTTGGTTATCCTAATTCCGAAATGCAATTTGCAGGACTGCTTAGAGAGTCCCAGGGGCATCAAGTCCCAGTTTCCCACAGCTTAATAACACACGCTGTTTTGCCTTTCCCTGCTTTCCTGAGATTACTTCCCAGGATCAGCAAGGTTAACTAACTTGTCCAGTAACACAACTAGCAAGTAACAGAACAGGCTTCCAAAATCCTAAAAAAAAATTTCCAAAGCCCCCAAATAGGCAAACTCTTATTTGTCTTGAGGACAAACTCTTAAAGCAGCAGCACAAACACCTTGATGTGGTTCTGTGAGTTTTCCTGGCAGGGCCCAGCCTATCCTTTGTCAGAACCTGCAGAGCTTGGGGCTGTGGAACCCTACCAAGACCTCTGGTGGAACTTGTATCTTTCAGATTCATAGAATCTATAAAGAAAGCCACTGTTGAGGTGGAGAGAAAAACAAGTTTTAATGATTCAGCTCTTTGTATCCACAAACCAAAAAGCAGGGAAAAAAATTCTTTTTAAGACACACATATTTAATTTAGCCATAGTCCTGGATAAAAACTTCCAGTGTTAAGAGCTGGATGCGGGGAATTGCTGGTAAACTGGCTCAGGGAGGGGTGGATGTGGAGAGAACATGGATTTGTAGCATCTGTCAACTTCTGTGGTGTCAATACTCTCCCCATGACTGATTTCAAGCTACCAGTGGTTGTTTGGCTTGAAACATTCCTGAATATTTAGCAACTGGCTTTTACAAGCAGGTAGGAGCAGCACACCACTGGCTGTGATGATCATGACCTCAAGTTCTACAGTAATTAGAAAGACCTTTCTTACATCTCAGAGCCAAATATTTTTGGCCCTGATATCTTGTCTAGTTGGCACTGCGGAAAGAAGATTTGAGATTGTTAAATCTCGAGAATCTTGTCAGGGGTCTGGGTGCAGTGGTTCATGCCTGTAATCTCAGCACTCTGGGAGGCGGAGGTGGGTGGATCGCTTGAGGTCAGGAGTTCGAGACCAGCCTGGTCAACATGGTGAAACCCCATCTCTACTAAAATACAAAAAAAAAAATAGCCAGGCATGGTGGCACATGCCTGTAGTCCCAGCTACTTGGGAGGCTGAAGCAGGAGAACTGTTTGAACCAGGGAGGCGGAGGTTGCAGTGAGCCGAAATCATGCCACTGCACTACAGCCTGGGCAACAAAGCAAGGCTGTCTCAAAGGAAAAAAAAGAATGTTGTCAGGGAAATAAGTTGGGAGTTCTTCATGGTCCACTATGACCCATATATAAAATCTTTCTTCAATATGTGCTCAACTAGTGAAATGGACATGAAACAGGCCACCAGGCCTATTAACCCTAGTGGCGCTAGGAAGGGACAAGGCCCCTGACACCCCACAAGCCTTTGCCCATCATGTATAACTGCACCTGCTGCAATAGAACAACTGGTAAAAGCAAAATCTAGCCTAACCTCCTAATTTTGTACACTTGATCTTAGCAGAGTAGCAGCCAAGAATTTGGAGATGAAGAAACTGAGGCCCAAGGAGAAGCGTGTCAAAGGTCACATAGGATTTTAAATACTAAAAGTGGGACCAGAAGTTAAGTCTCCTGACTATCTGTCTGCAGTCCTTTCTATATCTGGCTGTTCAAGCAATTAAACCTTATAATAAATATTTCATTACACTGTCTTTGAACAGTGCCATACCTTCCAGACTAATTTTGTAACAACGTCAGGAAAGTGATAATTTGGCTGTTTGGGGCCCTGACTTATTTCACTTGCCTCTGTCTTTTTAAGTTTCCTAAAGTTGGAAACACTCATCACTGCACAGATAAGCTAAGCATTGCCCAATTCAAAGACCAGCTAGATTCCCCATAGAAAACAGAGCCGAAGACACAAGCTTGTGTGAAGGCAGTATATATTGGGAAGTAATCCCAGAAATGCAGGAAAAGGCAAAACAATCTGTGTTATTAAGCTGTGGGAAACTGGAACTTGATCTCACTGGGACCCCCTAAGGAGTCCTGCATAATGCATTTCAGAATTAAGGTAACCAACAGCAACATGGGATTTCCAGTGCTAACTCAGAGAAAACTCAGATCCGTGGAAAGCCAGGATGAGTTCATCACCCTTTCAGAATCATCTGCTCAAGAGTCAGAAGAGACGAATATTTATCAACTAGTTCATGTCCTGCAGTGGTTACATTGCCCCATGAGATGCCAACTCCCTTGCACTTGCATACTTGCATATGTGACAGTCAAAATACATTTCTAACAATGTCCAAGGAAGTTGAGCAAGAGCAACCCCAGGGCAGAATGAGATGCAGGGCAGCCACGTTGTGACTGAATGCAAGTCTGGCTGCTCATGACTTGAGAGCCAAAATATGAGAAGCGAGTAAAAGGAAAGCAACTTTATTCAAATGCTAGCAATTGGGAAATGGCCAGGCTTGTGCCTCCAAAAGACCATTTCAAGTGTTAGACTGAAGGAAGGGATTTTAAAGGGGGAGACTTGGCCAGGCGCAGTGGCTCATGCCTGTAATCCCAGCACTTTGTGAGGCCGAGGCTGTCCGATTGCTTGAACCGAGGAGTTTGAAACTAGCCTGGGCAACATAGTGAAAACCCATCTCTACAAAAGATACAAAAAAAATTAGCCAGATGTGGTGGTGCACACCTGTAGTCCCAGCTACTCTGGAGGCTAAGAGTTGGGAGGACTGCTTGAGCCTGGGAGTTGAGGCTGCAGTGAGCCATGTTCACACCACTGCACTCCAGCCTGAGCAACAGAGAGAGACTCTGTTTCAAAAAATATGTTAAAAATAAATAAAAAATAAAAAGGGGATACTTAGTATGAGAACCATGCCAGAGTAACACAAGATACAGGCCTGCATGTCTTCTTCCAAGGGTTATTTTGAGTTGTTGTCCACTTGGAGTGCTGGCTGGTGCCATCTCAGTTGCAGTCAGTTTATAGATGTCTGTCATGAGGTAATCTCCAAGTAGGGGAGAATTCTGCAGCTGGGTCTCCTTGCCTGGCTGTTGTGTAAAATCAGCCCCTGGAATTTATTAACAAGTATACAGTTAGATACGTGTCCATGGTGCAAGGGAGAGTCTGGTGGGAAAGAGAGGGAAGCAGAGTTTCAAAGTACATTTCAAGGTATATTTTAAGACTAAGGAAAAGAGAGTTTCTACACTCAGTTTCGAGGTTACATCTTAAGACTAGAAAGAGAGGAAAAAAGTTTTAAAATGCATTCAAAGTTGAAAGACTCAGTTACAAGGTGAGGGAAAGTAGATTCACTTCTCTGGGTGCTGGGTGCTGCAGCAGGGACTGGAGAAAAGGTAGGTTGAGAGGACGTGAGGCAGTGCAGAAGCGGTGTCTCACACAGGGCATGAAGGGCAGGCAGCCTTGGTCCCTAGGCTGATAAGACTTCAGTACCAAGTGACCCTCTGGGACCTGGAAGATGGTGACTACAATCCATGAAGGGACAATTTATCAAACCGTCCTTTCACAGATCTCCCCATGACAAGATACTGATCCACTTTGTGGCTTTCCTTCTCACCTTTATCACTTTCTCCTTTACTCCCTCAACAAATATTTAGTGAGTACCTATCATATGCCAGAGACTATGTTAGTTACTTAAAATGTAGCTAAACATAATCCTTATCCTCAAGAAGCATTTAGGGGAGGGACCAACCAGAAAACAGACAGCTACAATACAATATGATGGTGCTAGAGAGAATGGGCCAGAGGGGAAAGGGAGAAGAAAGATTTCATGTAAGGAAGTAGTATCAAAGCAGAGTCCCTAAGGATTACAAGAATAATAACAATAGTAGATAACTTTTATGGGATGCTTACAAAAAGCCAGGCAATGTTCTAAGGTCTTCACAGTACTAATGTAATTAATCCTTACAATAGCCCTGTGAAGGAGGTGCCACGATGATCCTCAACTTTGAAATGACAAAGCTGAACTATAGGAAAATTAAATAAGCATGCCAAGGTTTAAGGCACAATGGCACACACTGCTAGCTGGTCATTCACCAAAACTCATTTTCTCTTCTTCCTGGGCACACAGTTAGGTGACGTTTCCCAGCCTCCCTTGCAGCTAGATGTAGCCTTGTGACTGAATTC